>NC_000007.14:82809809-83112839 GCF_000001405.40 Homo sapiens | reverse complement strand
CTAAAATGAAAACACATGCATTGCTGTGTTCTTTCATTTGTGATGTCAACACTGCTTCTAATTTTTACTTATTTAATGAGCTTTTCCTCTCATGGCATATTAATATGAATGCTTTCTTTATGTATGAAAGGAAGGAAAATATCTCTAAGATTTTGAAAAGAGCTTTCTGGAGAGAAGTTTTGTCATAAATTGGCTTAAAATGAGTATACTTTGGAAAGCCTTAGAAAACTGCTGACATTACCAACAAGAATATACTGACATGAGAAATATTCTCTGAAATTTATGGCTAAATGGCTTCATTTGTCAGCTGTGGTCTGAGATTTCTTTTCTTTCTTGACATTTACATGAGTTATTCATTCTTTTGTATATCTAAAAAAATTGGATTAAGAAAAAGCTTTGTCATTATGATTACTATTTTACTAAATGATACCCAGTAGCTAGATTGTTATAATAGTTTATTCCCGTTCTTAAAAAAATACAATCAGGCCAGGCGCAGTGGCTCACGCCTGTAATCCCAACACTTTGGGAGACTGAGGTGGGCGGATCATGAGGTCAGGAGTTCGAGACCAGCCTGACCAACATGGAGAAACCCTATCTCTACTAAAAGTACAAAAATTAGCCAGGTGTGGTGGCGGGCACTTGTAATCTCAGCTACTCAGGAGGCTGAGGCAGGAGAATTGCTTGAACCCGGGAAGCAGAGGTTGCAGGGTACCAAGATCGTGCCACTGCACTCTAGCCTGGGTGATAAGAGCGAGACTCTGTCTCAAAAACAAAACAAACAAAAAAACAAAAAACAACAAAAAAACCCAGACATTTCCTAATTAAAATACTCTGTCACTCTCAGTGAAATTATAAATATACTTTTTGACAGATAGATGTCATTTAACTTACACAAAAATAAGCAATCATATCATTTGTATGTTTAAAAATGATGTGATTTGCTCTACCTTAAAAAGTGAGCATTTAAACTTAATCTAAACATAGAATCCCCCTTAAAAGCAGACATTAAGTTACAAAGTAAATTTTTTCTGCAACAATGTTAATTTTATATTGCTATGTAACAAGTTGCCACAAATTTAGCACTTTATAACAATAGCTCATAGTTTTATAGATCAGAAGTTCAGCATGGTAAGGCACAACTTTCTAATCAGGATCTTAACAAGACTGCACTCGAGGTCTAGTTCCTATCTGGAGTTACTCAGGTTGTTGGCAGAATTAGTTACTGTGGTTGTAGGAATGAGGTCTAGTTTCTTTGTGGACTCTCAGCTGGGAACCACTTAGTTCTTGGAGGCTGCTGACATTCCTTTTCTTGTGGTTCCCCACCTTCAAAGCCAGTCATGAAAATTTCTGTCACATAAGATCCTTTTCACACTAAAACCCTCACTGGAGAAAGGGCTCCTCCGGTCCTTTGAAGAGCTCACCTGATTAGATTTAGCCTAATTGGATGGTATCTTTTTTGATTTACTGGAAAGTCAACTGATTAGTAACCTAATTGTGGAGTAATATCCCATAATATTTACAGTTTCCACCCACACTCACCTGGAGGGAATTAAACAAGGTGTGTATTCCAGAAGGCAGAAATCTTGGGGGTAGAAAGATATGTCTTAGAATTCTGCCTGCTACAGTAACTGAGTGATTGAATTGAATAAAATAAAATTTTGTGAAGGAGAGAATGTCTATTGATTTTGTCACAGGACATGCATACATAAGTATATAGTGATAATTCATTGACATATGGATGTAAATCAGAATAAATTCATCTCAAATCACATGGAAGGGAGGAGAGTGAGTGAAAGCAGTATGAGAAGTTCTCTTTTTGACATCATCTCTCCTTTAAGGTCTTCCACACTAAAATATTAATGCATCATTTTCTTTATTTGGGATAGTAATAAGAAGTCCATATAAATTTACAATTCAGTGCTTGATCTTATTTTGTAATTTTATCATTGCTTTGCTAAATGAACCAGACTATATAGGAAATTAGCTCATATAATTTTCTCTAGTGGAGGAGATGGGTTTGACAGGGTTTAGCAACTGACTGCATGTGTGGAAGTGGACAGATAAATATAACTCTATACTTTTTACCCTGATATTGAAGCAGCAATTGTAAAATCAAGTAAAGTTGGAGTAATATTCATGTATAATGGAATTTTGGTGTTCATAGGGAAGTTAGATTACTCAAGTCTAATTCTCAGAAGATATTTCAGGGACAGCCTTTTATTTTGGATGTTATCAGAATAGAAATGATGTCAAAGTTATGAAATTGGATTGTGATAACAAAGAAAAGGGCATAGAAAGGAAACATATGACCCGAGAGTTAGGAAAGGACAAATTTTGTCAGGAAAGAAGAACAAGGCAAAACATGGCATATTGAGCGATTAGGCAAAAAGGGAAAACTAGGAGAGGGCATTTTGAAAACAAGAAAAGAGACATATTTAAGGAAAACAAGTGATTAAGTGTCAACTATATGGTGATAAAATTGACATATTAATAGCTGTATTATAAATTGTTACAAATCTTTTTATTAAAAAAAGGCATGTAAAGAGCATCTGTGTTCTCGGATCTTAATATCATCCTTGAGAATTTAAATATACAAATTATTCTGTAGATGAAAGCTGCATGCTTATTGCAGTATTTTCTTTAGTAGCAAGAATTTTAAACACTGTAAAGGCCTACATTTACAGCAATAGACATGATTATATAAAGAAAACATGGTACATTGTAAGTTGTATAATCTAGTATGTACTGAGAACCTGCTTGGGGGCCAGGTTCCAAGCACAAAATATCCAAAACCATATATTTTTATTCTCCTCATTTTATAGATGAGGAAACTGAGCACAGAGATGTGGCTAAACTCCCAATGTAATGTACATTTCAGAATCAAAATGCTAACCCAGACAGTCTGGCTCTAAATTTTGAGATTTATCTGCAAAACTGCCTTTCAAAAATTTGATGTAATGTTATGAAACCATTAAAATAATAGCTGATTATTATTTGGAGAAATTATATACTTATATTAAATAAAATGTTTTTGCTATTAAGTGTACAAATTTATAAGGGCTGGAAAGACATTTTTCTTAGGTGAAAATAAATGGATTAGAATGATGGATTTATATTCATTTTGTTCTTTGCTTTTTGTCTTTAGTCTTTTAAAAATATATGAAAATGAGAGGCTGTCAATAGCATCATGCCAAGGAGTCAACAGCTAGAATGTGAACAGTATAATGTTAATGTCACAGAAGTAGCATATGGGTAGGTAGCTAAAACATAATTCAGAAAACTGTCATTGGAGCTGATACGTTTTATTTTCCATGAAGCCAGACAGCTGGAAAGATCAACTACGTTAATATCAAGGTCAGAGAGATTCATAGATTGACAGGATAACTAAACAATAGAGATTTCAAAGAGGAGAGTAGTTTGTCAGGGATGAACAGTGGTTGAAAAGTGGCAATGAAGAGTGGGGAACATATCACTTCCCAACTCCATCATGTACCCAGCAGATATTTTTGGAAATCAGTCTAAGATGAAAGTATAATTAGAGAAAAGCAATCAATTAAGAACACTAGAGGGACAGGTTGTAGAATGAAAACAGGATTTGCTTAGTACACATGGAAAGTCAAATAAAATTGTAGGCATTTTTTCTAGTCAGTCTGGCAAGGAACAGGATTAAGGTTTGGATATAGATGTGGGCATCTGAGTTTGAGTTTTGGGGCCAGTACTTCCATCTGTGATTATTGTTTATAGGCATAACAAAGTGAGGAGGAGGCCAAAAGAGAAAATGGGGATAGACAGTGAACAGGTAACACAGAAAATTAGGTAAGAGTCCAAACTTTCCAAGTATTAGGTGGATGCAAAAGCAATTTCAGCTTTTGCCATTATTTTCAATGTCAAAAACCACAATTACTTTTGCACCAGCCTGTAGTTATTTTAGAGCTACTTCAGGTAGCCACAGACATTTCTAACTCCAGTACATTTTGTATACATCACTGTGATTAAGTTGAAAATTAATGAAAGAGCTCATATTACTATTACCATTAGAATGATAATATAATCTCTTTCATTAATTGATAATATAATTACATTATATAATTATGATGTATATTGATTAATCCTGACCCAGGTAAAAAAATGAGGAGGTGGAATGTAGTTTACAAAGAAATACAATCAAAGTAGCTCATCAAAAATATTGAACATTCATCTCTTTGTGACTTTAATGATTAAAAACTAAGGATGGAGTTCAGTCTGTTTCAGGATTGTGTCCTTGCATTGAGTATTTAGAAAATATTTTCTATCTCATTTGAGCAATATTATATTTAAAATATAAAATTTGTATATAAAATTTTATTTAAGTTTTGACAGCACATACAGTGGGAAATTGAACTTTTAAAATGGCAATTTCTGGTTAAACTTTTCTTGTGAAGGTATCTCTATTTCTCTGGCATATGTCTTAATTATTACAGATAGATAAGTAAGTAGGTATATAGATAAGTAGGTAGATAGATGCTATCTGCTGAGATAACAGTTAAAATATTGTAATGTGAAAAGTGACTAAGTAAATATGGACTTAGAATCTCATACCAATAACAACAAAGGAAAGGAAAACACATTACTTGCCTCATTAATCATGATTTTTACTTCTTTCTCAAGTCAATGTATTCTTAGAGATTTTTTTCTCTCACATGTATGCACAAACACACAATTTCTTTGACTTTATATAAACTGTAGTACTTTATCTATGGCCACCTATCAATGGCCATAACTATTGCCAAAGAATATTTAAAAACTATTATAATTTGAAACTTTAGAGTTCTTTCTTTCTTCCTTTCCTTTTTTTTTTTTTTTTTTTTTTTTTTAGACGGAGTCTCACTCTGTCACCTGGCTGGAGTGCAGTGGCACGATCTTGGCTCACTGCATCTTCCGCCTACTGGATTCAAGCGATTCTCTTGCCTCAGCCTCCCGAATAGCTGGGACTACAGGTGTGCACCACCATGCCCAGCTAATTTTCGTGTTTTTAGTAGACTTGGGGTTTCACCATGTTGGCCAGGATGGTCTTGATCTCTTCACCTCGTGATCTGCCCCCCTTGGCCTCCCAAAGTGCTGGGATTATAGGCGTGAGCCACCGCACATATTCTCTTCTTATATTCTCTCTATATATGTGCACACTAATATATAATTATTAATAAATTATTAGTATTAATTATTATTAATAACTGGTTTTAGTTTTTAGTTAAGTATTTATCTTCCAAGAAATAAGTTTTTTAATAAACTCAACTGAGTATATCTGTACCTAAATATATATAATTCAAAATACCAACTCAAAATTAATTTTACAGGGGATTAATAATTGACAATAGATATTTTGGTCATGATTAATTTATAACTTAAGTCATATTTAAATCTCAGCTAAGGCCTAAGAAAGCAAATGTTATTGTAGTTTGTACATTTGACAAATGATGGAGGGATGGACTTAAGTGAAATAAATTCGTGTTAGTTTTGACTCAATATTAATTTTTGTTCCTTACAACACTTAACTCCAATGGGATGGATATTCTACATAGAAAATGTAAATAGAGGTACATTTTATTTCCTATGATTATTCAGTTTAATAGACTATAATAAATTTATTTTGAAGGGTAAGGACTGAAAAACTACCTATCAGGTACTATGCTTATCACCCGGGCGGTGCAATAATTTGTACACCAACACCCTGTGACATGCAATTTACCTGTATAACAGACCTGCACATGTAGTCCTGAACCTAAAATAAAAGTTAAAAATAAAAAAAGAATCTGAAAGAGATAGGTAAAAATCCACAGGCTTATAGATGGTCTTAAGTGTTCTATAAGACTGGGTAAAAGTCATAAATCACACTACTTAATGAGCACATATGTTTGATATATTAGATCATATTGATTAAATAAAATTAAATATTTTTCTTACTAGAGAGATGACTCAGAATTTTTGAATGTCACTAATGCACATATTGAGGAATCTTCAATGAAGGGTGTTTATACCTTATATTAATACTTATTTTTATAAATATGCCCAAGGATTTGTGTTACTTGAGACATACTTCTGGGAATGTTGACTTAGTTAAATTTTTTATAGCCTATTAAACTGAATAATCATAGGAAATAAAACATACTTATATTTTCCTTTTCTATGTGGATATTTTATTATTTCATATAAAATTTTGATTAAAATTTTAAATGCTGTGCAAGATCTTTTTTAAAAGAATGGCATGACATCTGCTCTCACAAAACTCATAATCCAGTGAAATAGGAAAACACATAAAAATGGCTAATAAAAGAGAGTAGTTATTATTATAGTAGAAATATTTCAAAAAGTCATCATGCAAATATAAGGAAAGTAGGGGTTTGATGAGCAAATCAAAGTATTTACTTCGCCAGAGTGGAATTTGAGCTGTCATTGAAGGTGGGCAAGCCTCTTGTGATGGACACTTGATGTATTGTTTTGGTTTTCCAGAATCCTGACATTTTTTCAGCTGAGGATAATGCTCCATAGGGTAACTTTAGCGGCAGACACAGCTTTGCCTCACACTACACACAAGAAGGGCAGCTGCTCCTTCTCCTCACTCCATTCAAGTGAGGCTTGTTTACTGAGACTCCCCCATGGGACTTAGCACCTCAAATGATGCTAAGATGTGGCAGTGTAGGATTCACACTTGCCCTTGGTAATGGAATTCAGCCACAGCAGTGAGGAGAGTTGTAGTGGCCATTGTGCCAGCACAGCATTCTTGCATGGCTGCTTCTGCATCTCGATCTCTTTAGTGTGGGTCCTATGACCTAGTCTACTTGTTTCCTCTCTGTGTTTTGAAATGTTTCTCTAACTTCTTGCTAATTTTGAGAACTATTCTGTACTCCAAACAAACAAACCTTTCTTGCCCATTTGTCAGAATTAGGTTTTTGTTACTTACAAGCAAGGAACCTACTAGTTTAGCTTTGAAATAAATTGAGAAAAGACAAATAAGAAGATACTGTATATAGGGCAGCTTTGTTGAAACAGAGAGAAAGCCCCAGAGATTTACAATCTTTCTTGGTTCATGGCACACTTAGTTCTCAGTAATTTTTTCATAGTACTCCTAGTCAAAATTAAATATCTAACAGTTCATTTTATTTAGTACTTCAATTCAAACAACAAAATAGCACTTTGCACAGTGTCCGTGTCCAGTGGCTGTTGCTGTGATTCTTTTGAAAATTCAGAATACACATAGTGTCCCTCCAAGTTCACTGTAACTTTCCAGGGTTCATTGGCACTCTGCTTGGGAACCACAGCCATGAAAGATGCTTAGTATTTTATTGTTTTTTTGTTTTGTTTTGTTTAAGTTTCTCATTACACACTTATAATATTCTGATGAGATTAACATGTAAGAATTAAGATTCACTTGTAAGTAATTGGACTGAGGATATATAAATAGCTAATACGCAGGGATATGATCCCAAATCTTTTCATAAACTTGACTTACTGTAGCAATTAGACTTTGCTTCTGGTGTAAGTGTATTTATGTGGCTAATGCCATGAAAATGGAGGATATTCTGATTTGAGAATGTGCAGAGATATCTGTCAGGATGAGGAATTTGCACATTCCATGAGAAACAATAAAATTTTTGTTAAGTGATGTATTGCTTTCTTGTAATTCTAGACCATGGATTATTTAAACATAAGGATCATTTGTCATCTGTATCATAGCTAATACTGTAGAACATGTCCTATATTTTATATTCAAGTCAATGTTTGCTTAGTTTAAACTTCTATCCATGTTGAAAATTGATGTGTAAAAGTAATGTTTTCCACTGATAAGATTTGTGCTATAGTAGGAATATTTAGGATCTTGCTACTGAAAACTCTGATCTTGAATTTCTGCCTTTTGATGATTTATTTGCTCATTCTTTATTCACATATTCAACTGACAGGTATCTATTGAGTACCTCTCAAATTTTTTCATGTTACTGAGAAGGCTGAGGGCAGTGCCCAAGACTTAGAAGACTTTTTCCAGGTCTTTGTTTTGATCTATGGCATAGTTGTGTCACTTCTTTCTTTGATCTCAAGTCAATAGAAAAAGTAAAATTTAATGAAACTTTAAGGAGGTGCTGAATAATCTACAAGTCACAGAAGTTCCACTATTATATTGTAAACTTTAAAATATTTAATTCTGAATTCAGAAAAAATATAGATATATTTTAAGATAATTAAAATCAGCTTTTTTTGATTGCTTATGAAAATATTAATTTCAAGTGTTAGGTAGCTACTATAGCCAGGTGATACAATTATTTTAGCCATAGTATGATTTTGTTTGGGTGCCTCAGTAATATTGTTATGACTGAAAATGAAAGCTATATGAAGTAAATCTCTGAAGGAGTTTGTGTATTACTGAAAACTTAGTGAAGAATCTGGTTCATGGATTTATGTAAAAGAAAAGTGAAGGTGAACTCTCTGCGTATATTATTAAATGGCTGAGAAAAGATCTACTGAAAAAATCACTTTGCTTATTCCGCCTAAAGAAGATATTTTCCTTTAAAGCATAATCAAGTATGATTTAAGACCGAATAAGACTTTTGAATTTACTTGTGTGACCAAATGTAAACTCACATTTCTATGGTGCATATACAAATTTAATCAAACAAGTTTTATTTAAAGTCTTTATTTTTCTAAAACACTCTCTTAAAATATTTACAGGTAAATTAAGAAAATGTTGTTCCCTTTTTCAGATTTCCTGCACTGTTACTATACTTGTTTAGAATATATGTTTTAGAGAATAAAAGGCTTTAATGTCAAGAGGTTCTCAATGTGTTACTTAATGAACAACAATTTTCAACTTTAAAAAGTAATCTTTGGGTCACAATCCTTTAGATGAATCTTGGGACTCAATCATTGCTTAAATGCATTGACATTTCTGAAATTGTAATTTTATTTTTACCAAGTACAGGCAAATATCTTTATTTGGGGTAAATGAGATTTATTTTTGAGGAAACCCATGAGACAGCTTAGTACAATAAATTGGTTTGTAACTACATAATAAATAATGATGGTGAGGAAGGTATTTTCTGCATTTGTTGTTGTTTTGTATATTGTGATTTACTCTTAATCTTTATATTAAAGCATATACAATTATTTTGAAATTTTAGTGATCATCTTGTTTTTCTGTGACAATTTGGTAAGCAGAACACAATATTGAAATGAAGTATTTATTATGGTTTGGCAAAGTTAGAAATTGACTTTTGTTTAGTTGAGATTCTAATTTTAAGTATGCATAGGTTAAGACAATTGACAGACTCATAATAGTATATATCCTAAATACTGGAATACATAGTGATTTTTGTATATAGCTTTTCTTCCTGTAATAGAAGAGAATGAGGTTGGCTGCTTGCTAGAGGTGGGAAGTAAGGAGATGATCCCTGAAGGTCTTATTGGTCAAAATTTTATATCATGCTTCTTATATTCTGGCCACTGTTGTAAGCACTTTACCCCCCATTACTAGCCCTACGAAGCTCATGGAAAAATAATGTAGTAACAACAGGAGTAAAATGTCTAGTTTTTAAAAATAAGAGTTCCTACCAGTTTTGTAGTTAATTGCGAGCTAAGTTAAAAATAGATTGGAGTAGATTACAGTTAGTGCATCTTCTCAAAAACAATAGTTGCTTTTTTAACAATGGCAAAAAAATAACCAAGTGGTTATAGATCTGGCAAGATTCATAGTATAGACACTTTCCCAAAATTATTACATTAAAGCCTTCTCTATGATATTTACTTGTCAATATGTTCTTCTCAAAATAGCCAATCAATATTATAGTGATCAGCTTTGTAAAATATCTCAGGAAGGGAAATAAACATACCATTTTTGGTATACAAATTAATAAATGTCTCAGATTTGTAGAAAAAGTAGATATTATGTTTCTTCTGCAATAAATACCACCCATCACTTGGATGAATTATGGAAACAGCTATACAATGTGCAATCAGAAGTAATTAATTATTCATTCTGAATAATTAGAAAAATCATAATGAACTATATCAAAGTTGAATTTACAAGGATTTTTTTAAGAAAGCAAAAATAATATTTTAGCTAGATATAAAAAATCAAGAGTTTTATTTTTTCAATAAGAAATGTATCCAATGTGTATTGATTGTATGATTACTCAGTGAAAATTACTTTAGGAGATAATTTACATTATCATTATAATATAAAGTGAATATTGCTATTTCAGTTTTATAGTTGAAATAGCCAAATGTCATAGATTTTAAGTAACTTGCCTGATATCACAAAATGGCAGAAGTAGAATTCAAACCCAGAACTTTCAAATTCCGAAGTCTGTATTTTTCCACCAACCTAGTATTCTATATATTTGTGTGTTGTGGCAGGGATGGTGAGGGAAAATTATGTAAAAGACATGAAATATAATAACCATTCAAATGAGAAGCAGCACTTAATTCTGAGTTAAATTGTTTATATAATCTGCATTGGGTTGTTAGGTGGATGGTTTGGAAAATTATTAAAATTTTGCAAAAATTATGATTTTTCAATCACGTAGACAAATATTTTGACCTTTTTTGTTGAAGGTTTGAGGTCATGAGATATGTAAATAATTGCAGGAGTTGATAATTCTGATCCAATTTTAGAATCTACAAGTACCATACTTATAACTTGATTTCTCACAGGCACATCAAGTGATATTTACTAAATGAATTTGTTTATTATATTTATTTATTATCATTATGTTTATTCTTGCCCATGCTGAAAATGCTTGAACCTTACAAGGCATATAACAATTTTTCAACTCTAACAAAAACGTTTTCCCCAGTTTTAAAATACAGTTCTTTGAATTGTCTTAGATCTACTTTTTTGCTTGATTAAAATCATGTTGTTCTTTTGACTCTGAGTCACAAAATGAAGTAGTGACATTATCTCCTCAGAAAAAAAAGTGTGGGTTTATTCAAGTTTAAGCTTTTATCAGTGGAGCATTTAGATGTCTACTAAGAAATGTTAGATTTCAGAATATCTCTGGAGAGGATGATTCTGAAATAAACATATTTGGAATTTTTTGCAGTGCGTGATAGGATTGCCTCGTGATTGGCAAAGTTAATTTTGGAAGATTTATTCTTAGAAGCAACAGATTTCAGCCACTGCGGCACTGAAATGTCACAGTTTCTTGTGCCAAAAGTAAAACACATACCATTCAAATTATTCTTCACTTCCACATACATTAGCTAACTAACACTCATCAACTGTCAGTGGGTGTAATTTACACTATACCATACCTATTCTAGTCAGTTTTTGGAGTAAAAATACTTAGTTTATTTTCTATGATCATATTTTTCTATCCGTTTTTATTCTTTCTGGCATTTGAAATTCTTTTCCATTATTGGTGAATATCCAACTATGTAGAATTAGTAGGTAAATCACTAGTGATGCAGATTTATTTAGCTATGGTGTTATTTTCTTTGTAGAAATATTTAAAATGGACTTATATCCATTTCTAGGTAAAATATATAATAGAACGTTGACATATTAGCTTTCCTGTTTTATATCTTTACTGTAAAAATTATTTTTTGGTTGTTTTTAATGAGCTATAACCTATCATGATTGTCTTTCATGGGATATATAAAAAGGAAAAGTGATTTGAAATTGATTATGTTCCTTTTTTGTGGTATAGAAATAATGCTTATATTTAACTATGAAATAAGAGGAGCTATTATGCTAATTAATTTTAATAACTGGAAAAATCTATTGTTAATCAGTTTAGTAAAGGACCTTGAAAGGTAACTATAAATAAATGCAAAAATCCATGTTTGTTCATGTTTATAAAATGGCTAAGTATTTTATGTTCAAAATTATCCAAATATTAATATTTTGTACTTTTAGTAAAAAGGGGACTCCAAACTACTATAAAAATGAATGAGTAAAATTTATGTGTTTGTATATCGCTGTGTGTATTGATTTGTTGTTTTAGAATAATTCCAATATCCAGAATATATAAATTTTTCATATATAAAATAACAGTTTTTTAAATTTTATTTTAAGTTTAGGAGTACAAGTACAGGTTTGTTACATAGGTAAACTGGTGTTGTGGGGGTTTATTATACAGATTATTTCATCAGCCAGATATTAAGCCTAGTACCCATTAGTTATTGTTTCTGATCCTGTAGCTTCTCTCACCCTCCATCCTCCAAAAAGGTCCCCTGTGTGTTGTTCCTCTCTATGTGAGCACGTGTTCTCATCCTTTAGCTCCCACTTATAAGTGAGAACATGCGGTATTTGGTTTTCTGTTTCTGTGTTAGTTTGCTAAGGATAATGGCCTCCAGCTCCACCCATATCCCAGCAAAGGACACAATCTCATTCTTTTTATGTCTGCATAGTATTCCATGATGTATATGTACCACATTTTCTTTATCCAGTTTATCACTGATGGGCATTTAGGTTGATTCCATGTCTTGCTATTGTGAATAGTGCTGCAATATATACATGTATGTGTCTTTACAATAGAATGGTTTATATTTTGTGGGGTATATTCCCAGTAATGACATTGCTAGATTGAATGGTATTTCTGTCCTTAGGTCTTTGAGGAATTGCCACACTGACTTCCACAGTAGCTGAACTAATTTACACTCACAACAACAGTGTATAAGTGTTGCTTTTTCTTCACAACCTCGCCAGCATCTGAAAATAACAATTTTTTTTGCCAATTATATTATTTTTTAATTGAGCAACATTGTTGACACAGTTTTTGGATAGATAGGTTTAGATAGATGGATATAAATATATTGTGTGTGTTTGTGTATCTCTAGAATATCAGAGATTCTTTTAGTAATTAAGCAAACATTATTTAATATAATAAGTATAGTAAATTATAGTCTAGCTTCTGTTATATGAGTAGATTTTAAAAAATAGTATGCTTTCTTATAAACCTCTTCAAAATGGCTTTAGCATGTTAACAATTCCAGGATTTTCTTTAAGATTTATGGATTTAACGACAACAGCAGCAGAAGAAAGTATGGTTAGAGGTGTTTTATGGAGTATGTATCATGTTCTAGATGTAGATATGGATTATATCTAAAAATTTATGTAATCTTAGAAGATTTGCAAGTGTATCATACATTTAGAAAGATACTTTAAAAAATCTACTGTATTTTGGCCAGACGCAGTGGCTCACGCCTGTAATCCCTGCACTTCAGGAGGCCGAGGCCGGTGGATCACCTGAGGTCAGGAGTTCGAGACCAGCCTGGCCAACATGATGAAACCCTGTCTCTACTAAAAATACAAAAAAATGAGCTGGGCATGGTGGCCCCTGCCTGTAATCCCATCTACTCAGGAGGCTGAGGCAGAAGAATCACTTGAATCCGGGAGGCGGAGGTTGCAGTGAGCCAAGATCATGCCACTGCACTCCAGCCTGGGCAACAAGAGCAAAACTCTGTCTCAAAAAAAAAAAAAACAAAAAAATCTACTGTATGTTAAAACATATTTGTTTATTTGTTTCCTTAAATCTTTTTTGTCTCCATTTTTTTTTCTTTCATAATCCTTGTTTTGATCCTTATCACCTCTAGCCTGGTGTCCTTGCTGTCAGTATCTCGTTGCCTCCACTCTGCGTGCCTCCACTCTCCCTCCCACCTCCTTCATCAAGCTGCCACCAAACCAAAGCTTTGCCTATACACGTTCAATGACTTTCCTTTGTCTACAGAAGAGATTTGAAATTCCTTTGCCTGATACTTTTAACCTATTAAACTTGTATTTAATTTATATGGTTAGCGTTTTTGTAAGCTATTCAAGTTATCAAATTTGCCAGCCTAACCCTACAGATGTATTTCATTGGCCTTCAGATATGTCTTGTGTTTTTCCACTCCTTGTTCACACTCCTCTTGCTGTTGTAAATCCTTTCTTTCCTATCCAAATTCTATTTATTCTTCAGACCTGATTTGAATACCTCTTCTTGTGTGAAATAGTTGCCAACTAGTCTAGCTCATTATAGCTTTTTTTCTACACTAACTCATAGTCTCTGTGAGTCAAGAGACATAGTATAACACCAAGTCAGCAACAAAGGAAGATTACATGTTTTCTTGAGCATGAGAGGTTTCCCCTTGAGTATAAAAGAGTAGTTGGTCAGGGAAGGTAACTCTTCTCAGTAAGAAAACGCTAAAGGATGATCATAGAGAGCAGAGAGTTAGATGTGCAATTTTTTAATGAACATATGATAAGAAATAACAGGTGAAATAGTTTGGGACTATTTAATGTAACTGGTGTTATGTTTAGTCATTTATTCCCTTTATATATACCATCCAAAATTCTAATATTCAGAAGTGTTCCACAGATATATAAAGTTTAAGATTCGCTGTTAGAACCTACAGTTGTCATGTTATCGAGACTGTAAGCTCCATCAAGGCAAGAATTTTGCATTCCCTTGGTGTCTATCGCAAGTCTTTATGTGTAGCAGATGATTAATGCATTTCTATTTTTGTTACTTGATCATTAACAATACACTAATAAATATGATTGTATGTAGTGCATCTGAAAGACAAAGTACCTCCTACTGTGTCTCTGCAATGTTTACTGTAAGTAGAGCATTTCTTCTCAAAATTTTATTAGTATTAGTGATCTTTATTCTGAGTATCTTAATTATAGTATTAGTAAACAGAAGAAGCTATGATCCTTTAAGCACTTCAAAGTCATGACTCCCCTAAGATTAGAGTGAAGAGTTTGACATCCATATAAAGCATATTGAGAGAGATTTATCTTACCTTTCTTCAGTGAATAAACTATCTAACTTATTCTCAATTTGTTTCCTTAATAACAATGTAGAAATATGAGGCATTTCAATGTTTATTTTACATTTTTATATTAACAAATAATATAATCCAAGTGTCACATTATAAATGCAGATATTAATGAAAAATATAATCATAAAACACTTTGGAAATTAATTTTATTTGTTAAAGAGGAATCTTTTCCATGTATTATATAGTATGTATAGTGAAGATGTTCAACGTTTCTTATTCAGCTAAAAAGTTTTTAAAATATGATCATGCTCACGGACTTTTGTGGTTTATTGAGGTCTAAGCATGTTTTGTTTTCTGACACAATAGCAAGTGCTCTATTTCACAATTTTCTAAAACAATTTAAGGGGGTTGCAATATGACAAAGTGTTGAAGATCAAAATTTTTTGTATGCTGAACCAGTTTTTAATAGACTGTTTAAGTTTATAAAGCATGATACGTGAAAAAACAGAGGAGTAAGCCCTTTAACCTAATACAAATAAAATATATATATAATATATGTATTTTATATATTATATATATATATATATTTTTGAGACTGGGTCTTGCTCTGTCACCCAGGCTGGAGTGCAGTGGCAGGATCTCGGCTCACTGCAAGCTCCGCCTCCCGGGTTCATGCCATTCTCCTGCCTCAGCCTCCCGAGTAGCTGGGACTACAGGCGCCCGCCACCATGCCTGGCTAATTTTTTGTATTTGTAGTGGAGATGGGGTTTCATCGTTTTAGCCAGGATGGTCTTGATCTCCTGACCTCGTGATCCGCCCACCTCAGCCTCCCAAAGTGCTGGGATTACAGGCGTGAGCCACTGTGCCTGGCCGAAATATTTTTATATAATAAAAAAGATTTATATAATTTATATAATAATATAATATATAATATATAATATATATTTATATAATGTATAATATATTTATATAATGTATAATGTATAATATATTTATATAATATATAATATATATTCATATAATGTATAATATATTTATATAATGTATAATGTATAATATATTTATATAATATATAATATATATTTATATAATATATAATATATATTATTTATATAATATATATTATTTATATAATATATAATATATTATATTATATTATTTATATAATATATAATATATTATATTATATTATATATATTTAGATAATATAATATTAATATATTATATAATATATTTATATTATATAATATATTTTTATATATATTTATATTATATAATATATTTTTATATATTTATATTATATAATATTAATATATTTTTATATATATTTATATTATATAATATATAATATATTTATATAATTTATATAATAAAAAAGATTGGAGCTTTCCATTTAGGTTTATTTACCTTGCTGGTTTACTTTATTTGTTTAAAAAATATTGACAAAATAAGACAAATTAGAGACTATAAGACAAAATTCGACATGCTGAATTTTGATGGCAATCCCACCTAAATGTATCCTAAGTGATATGTAATCATAGCTGACATACATAGCGTGTATCCCCTGTGCCTGGCACTGATCTGTAAGTCCTTCACATGGTTTAAATATTTTAATTCTTACACAATCCTTTGAGGTATTTAGTATCATTATTCCAATTTCAAAGGTAAAGTCACTGAGTTAGAAGACTTAAATAACTTGTACAAGTAATTTAACTAGTAATTTTCAGAGTCTGGGCTTAAATCCAAACACTTTGCTATATTAATTCAGATAACTAAATTTCTGAAGTGCAGATGTGGAAAGAATGTGAACCTGGAGTTTAAATCATAGGTCAAGTCTCTTGCAAGGTCTTGTGGCTTATCTCTCTGTGTACTAGTTTAATCATCAGCAGAAATGGAAATGCTAGGCAAATGTTTCAAAAGCAGTAGTGTGAAGAACACGTTAGAAAAACACTCTAAAACTTATGAAGTGTGAGTCATAATCTTTCATATATACTATTAATAATGTATAAAATCTCAGAGGATAGAGTTAGAAAGTTGAAATTGAGGTGTGTTAGATAACATTAATTTTCAAAAACAAATATATCTATGAAGAAAGTGATATAAACTCCCCGATTTAATGAAAGAACATGCTTTGTTTATGGAGAGAAAAAAATTATTTGTAAGTTTTATAACCAGGATCTAATAGACGTTTATAAAACCCTCATCCAACAACACAAGAGTCTACATAGTTTTCAAGCGGCAAGGGAATGTATTCTAAGAAATAACATATCATACATCATAAAACAAACTCCAACACATTTTAAAGCACTTAAATCATATAGAATGAGTTCTCTAGCTACATGGAAATACACTAGCAATTAGTAATAGAAAGATAACAGGAAAATCTCCAAACACTTGGAGATTAAACTGCATACTTCCAAATAATCCATGAGTTAACAAAAAAGGCCCAAGGGAAATTTTAAGATATGAATTAAATAAAAATGGAAGTAAAACATATAAAAATTTGTGGAGCTCATCTAAAGCAATGCTGAGAGGAAAATTTATAGCACTAAGTGCCTACATTATAAAAGAGAAAACGTCTCAGATTAATAATCTAAGCTCCTACCTTAAGAACCTAAAAAAAATAGAGCAAAATAAATCAAAAGCAAGTAGAAGGAAAAAAATAATAAAGAGCAGGAATCAATGAAATTGATAACAGAAAAAAGTAGAGAAAAATCAATAAAACAAGGAACTTTTTAAAAAAGTTCAACATTAACAAATCTGTAGCAAGACAAGAAAAGATACAAATTACCACTATCAGTAATGAAACAAGGCATATCAGTACATATCCTGTAGAAATTAAAAGAGAAGGAAATGCTACAAACAACTATACATGCATATATTCGGCAAAGTAGAAAAAAACGATTCCTCAAAAAACACAAACTCCCGTAATTCACATGATATGAAATAGATTATTTGAATAGTTCTGCAACTATTACAGAATTGAATTTAAAATTTTAAAACTCCCACAAAAAAATTCCAGGTCCAGATTATTTAATTGGAAATTTCTACTAAACATTTGAAGCATTAACCCCAATCCTATATAGTCTTTTCCAGGAAACAAAAGATGAGGGCGCATTTCCCAATTTCATTTGTGAAGTTAGCATTACCCTGATATCAAAACAAAACAAAGACGGTACAAATATAAGAAAATTACAGACCAATTTTCCTCATCCATACAGATACAAAAATCATTTAGAAATATTATCAGATAGAATTCAGCAATGTAGGAAAAGAATTATACTCTCTAGAAGACAGTTTGATGATTTCTTAAAAAAACTAAACATGCAAGTACCATATAACCTGGCAGTTGCACTCTTGAGCACTTACCCCAGAAAAATGAAGATGTCTGTTCATACAACCACTTGTCCACAAACATTTATAGCAGCTTTTTTTCTCGTAATAGACCCAAACTGGAAATAAGCCAGATGTCCTTAAGTGGATAAATGGTTAAACAAACTGTGGTACATCCATACCGTGGAATACTCAGAACAAGAACTTAAACTATTGATACAACAATCTGAATAGTCTCCAGAGAACTATGCTGAGTTAGAAAGTCATTCCCTAGGCCAGACACAGTGGCTCACGCCTATAATCCAAGCACTTTGGGAGGCCGAGGCAGGCGGATCACGAGGTCAAGAGATCGAGACCATCCTGGCCAACATGGTGAAATCCCATCTCTACTAAAAATACAAAAATTAGCTGGGCATGGTGGCGCACACCTGTAGTCCCAGCTACTTGGGCAGCTGAGGCAGGAGAATCGCTTGAACTCAGGAGGTGAAGGTTGCAGTGAGCCGAGATTGCACTATTGCACTCCAGCCTGGTGACAGACGGAGACTCTGTCTCAAAAAAAAAAAAAAAAAGAAAAAAAAATCAGTCCCAAAAGGTTGCATACTTTACAATTCCATCTATATAACATTCTTGAAATGACAAAATTATAGAAATAGGAAATAAATTAGGGGTGGCCGAAGGTTAAGGAAGGAGTGGGGCAGAAGGAAGTGGGTATGGCTATAAAAAAGCAACACATGGCTATAAAACAGCACGAGGGTCATTGTGGTGATGAAAATGTTCTGTATCTTAACTAAAACAGTATAAAAATTCTGGTTGTACTGTGGTTTTGCAAGATATTATTGGGAGGAAATGGGTAAGAGATACATGGGATTTCTTTGTTATATTCCTTGCAATAACATTTGAATTTACAATTATCTCAAAATTAAAAAAAAAAAAACAAATCAGTAAACAACCTAGGATTTTTTTTTTTTTTTTTTTAATATTTGTGGTGGTCGGGCGTGGTGGCTTATGCCTGTAATCCCAACGCTTTGGGAGGCCGAGGCTGGCGGATCACGAGGTCAGGAGATCGAGACCATCCTGGCTAACACGGTGAAACCCCGTCTCTACTAAAAAATAAAAAAAATTAGCCGGGTGTGGTAGCGGGCGCCTGTAGTCCCAGCTACTCGGGAGGCTGAGGCAGGAGAATGGCATGAACCCGGGAGGCGGAGCTTGCAGTGAGCGGAGATCACGCCACTGCACTCCATCCTGGGTAACAGAGTGAGACTCCATCTCAAAAAAAAAAAAAAAAAATATATATATATATATCTATACACACACACATATATATGTTTGTGGTTGATAAAATGGCACAGTTTCTTAGAAATAAGGCAAGTGTAATAGATTCAAAATGTAATATTGTATTAATTGATCTAGGCTTTGCTTGCTATTTTTATAGAATACTTTATATAATTTTATCTTGGAAAATTTGAAGTATAGAATGATGACTGCTTTGTTAGATAAATGGTATTTAAAATGAGTAGATTTATACATTAAGACAACATTTATTGATTTTGAATATGGAAACATTTTGCTCTCTTTGATTTCATACTGATAATTTGAATTTTTGTCAAAATGTGAAATAATATTTTTCTGCATTTCAATTGCAATTGAAGATTTAAAGAAGACACAAAATTCTGGATTTATGAAATTTAGCGTTTTCTAGGGAGTGAATATTCTAATTTCTGAGCCTAGCAATAGTCATGAATTCAGTAGACATAATATTTATCTTTCTATTACTTCAATAATATTATTTGATATCCATTGAAATTTGCTTCATTCTTTTTTTTTTTTTTTTTTGAGACAGAGTCTTGCTCTGTCACCCAGGCTGGAGTGCAGTGGCGCAATCTTGGCTCACTGCAACCTCTGCCTCCCACACTCAAGTGATTCTCCTGCCTCAGCCTCCTGAGTAGCTGGGATCTCAGGCACTCATCACCACACCCGACCAACTTTGTATTTTCAGCAGAGACAGGGTTTCACCATGTTGGCCAGGCTGGTCTCAAACTCCTGACCTCATGATCCCCCTGCCTCGGCCTCTCAAAGTGCTGGGATTACAGGCATGAGCCACCGTGCCTGGCCTGCTTCATGTGTTTTTATTACATTTAGGATTTGTCCTGATTGTATCAAATGGTAGGGATCACTACTCTTCCACACTTGACTGGGTTTGTAACAGAATCCAGAACATTAGAAAAAGATCTGAGAGGTGACCTAGGTTTAGTTTTGATTCTGACGGTAGATTTGGGAGTACACTTCTTGGACTGGCCCCCAGCTAAGTAGAAAAGTAGATAAATTCTATGTTTGATGCTGTTATCTGGGCTTCTGTTTGTCCTTATTCCCATTGTATATTTGTGCCGGGTCCATGGGTCTTCACTCTCAAGTAGTTGTCAATTCTGGGCTATATATGAATAAGGGATAATGGCTTAAGGTGTTTTATTTTCCAGTGGATTCAAGTTTTGTAGAGAATCTTTCAGGACTGAAAAGCTATCATGTCTCTAATGGCAGTATTTCAGATAGTGAAGAGGATATTTTATTCAGGAGGGTTCTGCAGGGTGACTTACAAATCATATTATATGGGCAGCTGCCAACTTTAGGGCATCCTAAGTTATTCCTGACTTAGTGAGTTCCTCATGCTCCATTGGAGTTTCCTAAGTTGAATTTTAAAAATTCATTCTCTATCCTCTCTCTCTCATTCAAAATGTAAAATTCAGTATTCATGTTAAATTCAAATGTGGAACAGGTACATTTTTAATGAACCAGTGAAAAAAAAATTTGGAAGTGAAACTTCCATACCTCTTCAAGTGGTTAGTCCAGAGTGATTTTTGGTTGTAGCATGTAGGAAGTCTTATAATAAGCAGATTTTTTGAGATTTATTTTATTCACTAAACCAGAGGCATTTGTTTCATATGGCAAATAGTTAAAACCTTCATAGTAAAATAGTTTTAAATAGCTTGGTAATAAGTATTGGCTTACTAGTATGGATAAAACCTTATTTCTTCCATGATTTAAACACATTTTTCTTGCAAACTCTGGCCTTCTTTCTCAAAATGCAAAATCAATTGAACATTTATTATAAGCAAATGTACAAAATTGACATCAGTATGTGGGGAAAAAGATGAAGAGAAGAAATTATGAAGCAATTCCTTCCCAAGAGTGTTTAGCAAAACTCATACAAATTGGCAGTTGATTAGCAGTTTTAGTTCTCACAATCATTTTGGTCCTTACTTGTGAGATTACACCATTTTTATTTTGAGTAATTCTCAAAATCAGGGCTTTATTTCTGCTAAGTCTTTATAGAAGTGGCAAAGTACTGGGGAAAAAACTTTATTTATCCTAAGCCCTTACAGAAGTGTCAAAGTACTGACATTTTCTTCAATTGCCTGGAGAGAATATGATTCTATTTTCCATAGCTGTTTTTGTGTCATCAGTCCTTTGATATACTTCGAAATGAGTGTTGTTTACCATTCTATCATTCAGTTGGCAAGTTATTTTCTAGCTTTCATACATGGATTAGCATTAAAGAGATAAACATTTTATTCTTTTTTTTGAATTCCTTCATTCTACAAATCCTTACTTAATGGTAAGGACTACATGTATGCACACATATTCTTGAATTCTTTTTCAGTGAGTGGAAGTGGGAGAAGGCTCTATGTTTTTAAAAAAGCTGATTAATTTCTAGGAAACTAAAATAGGTGGTTTGGATCAGCATACTTCAATGCTCATTAAAACATCATTTAGGCAAGGGACTTACATTATATACAAACTGTGTTTCTAATTGGTACCAAAAAGTACACTGTATATAAATTTATTCCTCAGATACTAAAGACTTTTGTGGCTTCGTTACTAATCAAAAGGAAGTACTCCTAATAGGAAAGGGAGGCAATGATAGGAGGGTACAATATTTTGCATTTAGCACAGGATTAAAACAATTATATTTAATTGTAAAATGGAATTTTACTGAAAATATACTGTTTTAGTTCCAAGTTTTATCAAAAAAATGTAATTTAAAAATATATATTTAGAATATTTTAGTCTTAAAAATGGGAATAATAGTTAATTTGTAGGTTCTCTTGGTTCCTCTGCAAACCTCTTTTCCCTTTGTACCCATCACAGATTTGTGTGTTTTGAATCATAAGATTTTAGATCTGGAAAAGGACCTAAATGAAAGGCAAATTAATTTAATAATGAGGAAGCTGAGACTCACAGAGTTTAAGTGTCACAATTAAGGAGTCAGATTATTTAGGACTCCTGATTTGGAGTATATTATGCTTTGTGTGAATGAAGAATGTTTATTGTTGGTTGAAAACTTTTTGGAATGCAACGTTCTAGTAACTTCCTAATTGATCAATTATTTGAGAGGACTTAAATTTTTGGAGAGACAAATGTCACCTTTTGTTTACTTTCTGTTTCTTGGATTTCTGGCTATATGTGCTGTATTTTGAAATCTTTATGTCTTCAGCACACGTCAGCCAGTAAATTGCATTAGTTTACATAGGTAGTTACATAGGCAACCTCCGCCTCCCAGGTTCAAGTGATTCTCCTGCCTCAGCTTCCCTAGTAGCTGGGACTACAGGCGTGCACCACCACGCCCAGCTAATTTTTGTATTTTTAGTAGAGACAGGGTTTACCATGTTGGCCAGGATGGTCTCGATCTCTTGACCTCGTGATCCGTCCACCTCGGCCTCCCAAAGTGCTGGAATTACAGGTTTGAGCCACTGTGCCTGGCCAGTACCTACGGCTTCATTAGTAAGAGATAAAATTGTTGACTTCTACTTACATCCTATGTTAATTTGGGAAAATTAGTTGCAAATTTTATATAAACGGAAACTACTGGATACTCATGAACTGAAAGAAGTACTTAATTTAGAGTGAAATCTCCTTACTCTGTAATCTTGGCAGACAAAAGGGAGGTGATTCAGAAGGCAAGGGGGACTTAGCAGATGACAAGACATGATGTAGTACCCTGGAACCCCATGTTTTGCCTCAGTGATCTCAGGGCACTAGTGCAGAAGCTGCCTGCCTTGCCTCTTTCCCCTGCTCCAGCCAGTGGTTATTGCACTAGGTTTTGTAGTGAACCATATCAAATTCTTCTTTCAAGTAAGTGGAAGGACATATTAAATGTTGAGTGGGAAGTTTGATAAATACTGGGTATTGTGGTTAGCAAAGATTGTATGGCAGGAAATAAGTAGGGAGCATTACCTACAGCAGTGTGTGGTTTGATGCCTGAGCCAAGGGGGCCATTCTGGAGAGGTGTACCTGCACCAAATTTATTGAATTCATGGGTATTTTTCCAGAAGAAGGGAGAAATGAGCATTTTGGTCAGGGGGGAGAAAGGACAGAGTTCTATAGGCATGAGGGAACACTGTATGTTCTAGAATAAGAAAGACTGGTGAAGAATTGCCAGGGTGTTAGAGAGAGATAAATCTGGTGAAATAGAACAAGTCATCTCAGAAAGGGCAGAGCAGAATTCATTCCATTCAGAAGGCTTAAGCACTTCTAATTTTTTTTTACCCTGAACATGTAATACAAAATAAAAATAATACTAACCTTTAATTAAAACATAAAAAAATATTTAAAACATATATGTGTGTATGTATGTATGTATGTATGTAAACATACATACACACTAAATGAGAATACCTTCTTTCCAAATTTTGGTTGTAGAATTTTAGAGAAGTTACTTAAAGCTGAACTTGACTCATTTTCTCTCACATACTATGTCTCCAAGTATGTGATATAATTCTATTGAAGGGACTTACAAATCATAATACAGATTTGAGGGTTTATCCTGAAGGAATTGGAGTGTTATTGAAGGATTTTTCACTAGGGATTTTTATGATCACTTTTGATTTTTCAAAAGATTATCTCGTCAGCAGTGTGGAGAATAGCCTAGAAAAGATTGAGATGAGGTAAGGAGAGGCCTCAGGAGGGAGGCAACACTGTACTTTCTCTGTGGTAAGGACATCACAACTCAGACAGTGTCAGTGAAGGTGAAAATGAGAAAAAAGACCTGAGAGGTATTCATGAGGCAGGGGCTGCTGAACATGCTGGCCAATGAAAGACTGCTGGTAAGAGAGAGGGAGGAACCACAAGGAGGTCCGCATTCAATGTGGAAGAAAAATGATGAATCAGTGAGGGGCTTGCAGAGTAATGTTGCTTGTGCAATATACTAGTGGAGTCAACCCACCAGCCCTTCTGTGTACCAGTCGGCTACCTGGTCTAGTACATTTCTTGATCTGGAAACATCGATAGAAACAATGAAGTGGATGAGATACAGGGTTAAAAGTGAAGAGGATCATTTCTCCCTGTTCCTTACTGGGCCCTCAGGGACCTTAAGAAGAATTTGAGCAGGGATTTGTTTTCTTTCTTTGCAGACCCAGTCTTTGGGTTCCAGATACACACAGTGCGTCCACTTTGTTCCCCAGGGATGCAAAGCCTTCACATCTCTTGTCTAGTGTAGTCTCTTTCTTCACCCTCTTCTTTTTCCTCAGCTTTTCATCTCCCTAAACTCCTGCTTTTGTTGGGATGTACTTGGTAAGTTCCATAGCTTGTGATTAATGAAAAAATACAAGTTGGCATTTCACTAAAGATAAATTTTCAAAACTGGCAATTTGAGAGTGAAGTGACTCCTGAGAAGTAATTAGTTCATGATAGGAAAATTTCAAGATTGCTTATTGTGTACATTTAAAAGGAGCGATTTGTAAAATTATATTTTGTTTAATGTAAAATAATCTGATTACATTTTATCGATTATATTTTAGCATAATATTTAGAGTATGCCTTCAGAATTAAATGTTAAATCAATTCGGCAATTTATAATGCAGTTAAACACAAAATGTCCTAGAGTCCATGAAAATCTTTTTATGAAGTTGTGGTGACATTAGATGATTTTTAAAAACTACATTAGCTATGAATTATGTCAAAACTATATTAAGCAAATATATTTTTTGAGCATAATACATAATTTAATAGAATCAATCTTTGCCTGATATAACTCATTTTGATTTGTCACATGTTTATTAGATCTTAGGTTTAATAACATTTACTTTTTCTTATTGTAATGGAATTTTATATTTAAAATAGAATATTTGAAAAAAATTACAAAAGATATAAAGAAAAATGATAAAATTCACCCATTATTAAAACCTATACAAATATAAATTATGCTTTTTATATATGTTTCATATATCTAATTTCCCAAGGCTACTAAGTATTCATTAGGAACATAATTGTAAATAGTTTAAGAATTCATTTTATAAATGCACATACTTTTTTTTTTCACACTTTGAAAAATTTTAATACCTTTTGGGGTACAAGTGGTTTTTGGTTACACAGATGAATTGCATAGTGGTGGTGAAGTCTGAGATTTTAGTGCTCCCATTACCCCAGTAGTGTACGTTGTACCCATATGCAGTTTTTAATCTGTCGCCCTCCTCCCACCCTCCCTGCTTCTGAGTCTCCAATGTCCATCATACCACTCTGTATGCCTTTGTGTACTCATGGCTTAACTTCCACTTTTTTTTTTTTTATTATGCTTTAAGTTCTAGGGTACATGTGCACAACGTGCAAATTTGTTACATGTGTATACATGTGCCATGTTGGTATGCTGCACCTATTAACTCGTCATTTACATGAGGTATATCTCCTAATGCTTTCCCTCCCTCCCCCTTCCCCCCACCCTATGACAGGCCCCAGTGCGTGACGTTCCCCTTCCTGTGTCCAAGTGTTTTCATTGTTCAGTTCCCACCTATGAGTGAGAACATGCGGTGTTTGGTTTTTTGTCCTTGCGATAGTTTGCTGAGAATGATGGTTTCCACCTTCATCCATGTCCCTACAAAGGACATGAACTCATCCTTTTTTATGGCTGCATAGTATTCCATGGCATATATAAATGCACATACTTTTTATTTAACGTTGCCTGTGTATCTGTTGGGCATTTATATCTTTCACAAATTATTACTAATATAAACAAGATTTTGATGAGTAATCTTGAACATGTAGCTACTATGTATCTCTGTTGATTTCTTTTTCAGAATTATTCAATCAAAGGATTTGAAAATATATGTTGATGCATATTGTCAAATGGTCAAGGTTGTGCCAGCATCCAAAATACTCTTAAATATTTAATCCAGGCCAGATTAATGCCGTACTCATGATAATCGTTCTCCTAAATCATCGTAAGAAAAATGGGTTGTTTGCCATTTAAATAAAAAACAGTCAGGTATTAATATAGACCTCTATCTTAGGAAATGTTTTTTTTTTCCAACTTGGCATGGTTTTACCTGTCATTATCAATAAGGAAGTTTTTCACCCCCTTTATTTAGTATTTAAAGAAATTGTCAGCCAGGTGCAGTGGCTCACGCCTGTAATCCTAGAACTTTGGGATGCTGAGTCTGGTGGATCAACTGAGGTCAGGAGTTCAAGACCAGCCTGGGCAACATGGTGAAACTGCATCTACTAAAAATACAAAAATTAGCTGGGCGTGGTAGCATGTGCCTATAATCCCAGCTACTTGAGAGGCTGAGGCAAGAGAATCGCTTGAGTCTGGTAGGTGGAGGTTGCAGTGAGCCAACCATTGCGCCATTGCACTCCAGCCTGGGCGACAGCGCAAGACTCCGTCTCAAAAAAAAAAGAAAAAAAAAGGAAAGAAAGAAATTGTCAGTGTTCAGGTAGCAATTGTCAGATTCAGTGCGCCTTGACACCTGTTATCCCATCATTAGTTGAAACCATGTTGTTTTACCATCTAAATCATTTGTCCATCAAGTCACATTTGGCAAATGTATTTATGTCAAAATTCATTATATTGTTAATACAATTAATTATAGCATTAGTACCGCTAGTACTGATAGAGGTATTGATAATAAAATATTGCTAATGGTATTTTAATACTATAATACCACAAATGAAAATTTTATCTGGGCCACAGTCCTGCAAATAAAAAAATAGCATACAAAATTAACTATTTATTATTTACATTAGCATATAATATAAAAGAAACTTGGATTAATGTGTTTTTTTAAAGTATTCTCAGTTTAATGAGAAGATTGGCTCCCTTTTATTCATTTTTTAAAAAGGAAACTGAATTTTTCAAACATTAGACCCAACGGCATGATAGCAGTCCTGTTAGTGGAAATTCATCCAACAAGTCTTTCATCCACAAGTGCCTCTTTTTGGCACTCCGAAATACGAACACAAAATCATGGAAATAAGGGAGACTGAGCATGCTGCAGCACTTAGCTCATTCTGAGGCATGTGGTAAGAGTGTGGGCTCTGGTGGCAGACTGTCTGGTTGTGAAACCTGTCAAGTTTTTACCAGTTGTGTGGCCCAATGTCACTTAACCTCCTCCAATGTGCCTCAGTTTTCTCATCTGTAAAATTAACTTCGCAGTAGGTTTTTAAATCATGAAAAAACAGCAATTAATGGTTTTAGCACAACAGTTGGTGCATAGTAAATACTAGATAAATGTTATCTACTACTTAGATCAGAAATAGACTAAAATTACACAACATGTTTCTTTCCACAAGTTGCTTTTCTCCTGAAATGGCACACATTTCTGGACCTGTTGCAGGATTATAAAGAGACTAATGTAGAACTTGGCTTATGTAAAGTTGTGCTGGGTAATGCATGAATTGTGCATCATTGGTAGTGTATGTTTTTATGATCTTTGAGCCAACCACGATAAGCACACAGGGAAGACAAGTTGATTTTCTTTTCTCTTTTCAGGCCAAATTATTCTAGGTATGATTTTGTTTCACATGTATATTATAAAGAAATTATAATGAGTCATATTCAAGGAGAGATTTCTACTTTGGTCTCTCAAATCCCATTTTAGTATGCTTTGCAACTGCCAATGTGAATTTGATAGATAAAGAGGTAAATCTCTGTGTTGTCAACCCAAGTGGAATTACAGGTGGAGGCTTGAAAGCAGTCAGGACTTTGTTCCTGGTGCTAATTGAAAGCGTTCGAATACGTGCAAAATTGATCAAGAAGAAGATGTGTACAAATCTCTTAAAATTTCTTTGTTTTTTAAAGTATGTGTTTGAGAGACAGAGAGGAAGAAAATATTCTGCAAAGCAAGAATAAAAACAAATGTAACTACAACTTATGAGGTACACTGAACTTACTATACTTACAGAAGTATTTTTTCCATAGTTAACAACATAATAACATTTATTCTTTCTGAAAAAATACAGCTTAATTCTGGCTACCTATAGAATCTAGCCTTTAATTATTATTTAATTTTTAGTATCAGCATGCCTTAACCATTATATAGGCAGAATGAGACATGGTGCTTTTAAGCTGGGATTTCAATTAAAATTAATATTAAATGTAAAGACAGCTGTGAATTTTAATGAATTATTTCATTTGTATTTGGAAAACTTCTCCCAATCTCCTGCTACCGGGCTTCAAAGATTTTTTTATATACTTGAGCCTTAAAACGGTCATTTCAAAATATTAATTTATAGTCATTCTTTTTTTTTTAAATAGGGTGCTTTCACACTACCTCCAAGTCCAATTCCAAAATTCATAAATATATATGAAGCAGAGCTTATAAAAGTTACTATGGTATCAGCTCACAAAACTAAGAACATCTTCATGTATGAATTTCTTTCATTGATAGATGGTCTAGAATTGCGTGTTGTCAGGATCTGTAGTTGACAAAGTTGGACATTTGGAAGAGATCCTCTTCATTATTCCCACATCTTCATCCAGCCTTCATCTTCATCTTTCCTCTGAACAGGGCTGCTCTGATGAGTTTCCTACACAGAGGATGTTCTCTTGTCAACCCAGTCTCTTCACAACTTGTTCTCAGAAAAAGTTTTAAAAATTATATTCACTCTGTTCTTATTCTTACAAATGCCAAATGAGAATTAAATGTATTAGCTCCTTTAAAAGATATATCAAGAAAATACATCGCCACTGGAGGAATTTCAAGAATCTGTTCCAATAGTTGCAAATATGTTTGAGTGGGCAGGGTCATCACTAGTACTGTCTGAAGTCATGACAGCAACCTGAATTTCTGCTTTTTCTACATGTAGACTTAGGGATATACTTTTTACAATTTTTAAAACTTATTCACTAATAGGAAACAGACTCATTTACCATCTGCTTGAAATGTGGTGATTATAATTTATCCATGAAAATATTGAATGTTTCCTTATCAACTTGGGAGTCATCAGGGAGGACCCAGAAGTAAAGGTTAACAGAGAGGGAAAACAGATTGTCTAGATTAATTTTGCATATACTATGCAGTATGAAAAACCTCAACTTACAGTATTTAATTTTTTACTCAATGTAAAAGGAAACCCTCAAAAATAAAAAAAGCTAAAATTTTACATCCACAGATAATTAATGATTTTGTTGTATTGCTCACTTTTTGTGTATACTGTTTAATAAAGTTGAGATCATATTTGATTTTGTACATTGCTTTCCAAACATGCAATTATCCATATTAACAAAACATTTAAGAATTATAGTGTTTATGTATAATACTTTAACATTTAGTTGTAACATAATTTACTTAGCCATTGTAACATTATCTATTTCAGTTACTTCTAATAAGATAAACATATTTCTCAATAAACATTTATTTTTACTTCTAACATTTTTGACAGTGACTACATCAATCATCTGGGACTTATTTTGTGTGTGGGATATAAAATAAAGTGCTAAAGTAATTTTTTAAAAAAATAGTTGATTGTATCAGTGTTCATTATTAAGTAAGTTTTTGTCCCCACTGATTTATGAGAATTCTTTATCATACACAAAATGCATCAATCTTTTTGACATCGTTTCTAGATATTTTGTTCTTTTGGTGAGTTTGACTATTTTACGTAAGAGTTTTTTTAATTGTAGTTTTATATACTTTATAGCTCAAAGAACCAGCCTCTCCACATAATTCTTTATAAATTTTTAATACCTATTTTTCCTTCTTTTTCAGATATTTTTTATTTTTAATCATGAGTACATAATAATTATACATATTTATGGGGTGGTACATGCTGTATTTTGATACAAGCTTATAATGTGTAATGATCAAATCGGAGTAATTAGGGTATCTATCACTTCAAGGCTTAATCATTTCTTTGTGTTAGGAGCATTCCAATTCTACTCTTTTAGCTATTTTGAAATATATAATAAATTGATGTTAACTGTAGTCACCCTATTGTACTACCAACATCAGATATTATTTCTAACTCTATTTTCTACCCATTAATCATCCCTTCTTCATATCCACCTCCTCACTGTGCTTCCTAGCCTCGTGTAACCATAATTCTACTCTCTATCTCTGATATTTTTCTTTTCCAAGTTCCAAGTATGTACGATTTTTATTATAGTTGACTTGAATCTATAAATTAATTTCAAAACATGAAAATTTTTATATTACTGTGACTTCTCATCTATGGTTATCCATTTAGCTTTTCTTTTAATATAAAGCAAAATATTTTTACACACGTTCTATGTATGAAACATCTATAAAATATATATAAGTATTATAAGTCAAAAATAAAATGATTTATTATTGAGAGTAGTGTTTTTTCTATTGCATATTTTAACAAATCATTCCCCGTATGAAAAATTTTTATTGTTGAGGATTTTACATATGTGTGTGCGTGTGTGTGTGTGTGTGTATAGTATAGGAAATGTATAAGATAAATGGAGGAAAATTTCTTAGGAAATTACTACCTTAAAACAATCAGTATCATTTCATCTAATATCTTTGGTCTTTTTCATATATAAACAGAAACTGCAATTTCTTGTTCCCGTTTAATGGTAAAATATATACATTAATAATTTTGACAGTCATTTTGTTAAAATATTTATTTTTTACTCATTTACAATCATCAAATATTTAATAGGAATATTATTCTAGGTATTATATGGTATCAAAAAATAACTTCTTTTTCTTAAGCTTTGAATCTAGTTGATAGAAGCAATTATGCAATGCAAAGAATAGATTAGTGATAATTAGCATAGGTGTTAGGAAGCAATAAATGAAACAAAAAATTAATATTTTAACCAAATTATGGCTGGCTCAAATATCTATATACTCAACCTATTGTAGCTCTAAATTCCTGTGATTATATGACAGATACAGTACCATAGGAAAAATAGCAATCTAAGTTAACTTCAATATTTGTTTAAAATAGTTTAATGTATACAGTTGGATCTATTTCACAAAAATTTTGGATAATTTGTGAGATTTAAGACATCATCAGGTCTAAATTTTTCAGATATTTTTTCCTCATTTTCAAGTATTTAAATATAGTCTGGGTATTTTCCATTTTCATTCAGATTATGTGGCACCATGGTGATATGATGCTGAAGGTATTTGGAGTCTAACCTTGTGTAGACTATCTAAAATGATTCATTCATTAAGTTCATCTTTACATTGTTAAATTTCTGTATGGAATACATGTACATTAATTTTATTCCCACTAATTATAAAATCTGTATTTGGCAATTAGAGTAATATGAAAACATTGATATGTTGTGAGGTCCTGGTCTTGTAGTACAAAGTTTATTTGTATGTTTGTATGTGTGTATGTTGTTTTAGTTCAAACAAAAGAACACAAAATTACAAAATGTTGGAAATACATTAATTATTTTTCTACTTTGTCAGATTATCACTTTAAATCCTGAAAGCAGAAATCAATATAATACAGTAGTCCACCCCTTATCAGTGGTTTTACTTTCTACATTTCAGTTACCCATAAACCGTGGTTCAAAAATAGGTGAATACAATACAATATTTTGAGAGACAGACCATATTTACATAACTTTTATTACAGTATATTATTATAATTATTTTTATTTTATTATTAGTTATTGTTGCTAATCTCTTACCATGCCTAATTTATAAATTAAACTTTTTCATAGGTATGTATATATGGGGAAAAAGATAGTACATATAGGATTCAGCACTATCCATGGTTTCAGGCATCCACTGGGAGTCTTGAAAGTACCCCCCACAGATAAGGGGGAACCATTGTAATTCAGTATTTTAAATTAGGATATATTTCTAAAGATATCCAGGAAACATTAAAAATATGTTCACTAATATTTGATAATATTTATCTTTATTAAAGGTAAAACTGGCATAAAAGTAAGAATTCTGAATTGAGTAAGAAGCTAGAGTTCACAACATTGGGGAGAGCATTCAAATGACATACGGAAATGGACTTTAAAATGAGCTTTTATGATGGGCAGATTTGAGTTCACCTGAATATTAACATATTTTGAGGGCAAATAAACATTGCTTTGCTTATTAAGTATAAAAAAATCCTCTCTTAAATGCAAATTGAAACCACAATGACATACCATCTCACGACAGAATGGCGATTATTAAAAATTCAAAAAACAACAGGTGCTGGTGAGGTTATGGAGAAAGAGGAATGCTTTTACACTGTTAGTGGGAATGTAAAGTAGCTCAACCATTGTGGAAGACAGTGTGGTGATTCCTCAGATATCTAGAACCAGAAATTCCATTTGACCCAGCAATCCCATTACTGGATATATACCCAAAGGAATAGAAATCCTTCTGTTACAAAGATGCATGCATGCGTATGTTCATTGCAGCACTATTCACAGTAGCAAAGACAAGGAATCAACTCAAATGCCCATCAATGATAGACTGGATTAAGAAAATGTGTTACATATACACCATGGAATACTATGCAGCCATGAAAAGGAATGAGATCATGTCTTTTGCAGGGACATGATGGAGCTGGAAACCATTATCCTTAGCAAACTAACTCAGTAACAGAAAATCAAACACCACATGTTCTCACTTATAAGTGGGAGCTGAAAAATGAGAACACATGGACACAGGGAGGGGAACAACAACATTGGGGTCTGTGGGGGGGTGAGTTAGGAGGAGGGAGAGCATTAGGAAAAATAGCTAATGCATGCTAGGCTTAATACTTAAGTAATGGGTTGATAGGTGCAGCAAACCACAATGGCACATGTTTACCTATGTAACAAACCTGCACATTCTGTACATGTACCCCAGAACTTAAAATAAATATTGAAATAAAAAAATCCTCTCTTCATTATGTAATTTTATTTAATCTGGGTGTGTGCTGAACAAGATATTATATTCCTGCTGAGAAACAGTCACAGCCACCAACAAAAAATGTGTATGAACATAGATTTTAGAGTTAATTTCCCAGGATGAGGCCTCCAGAAACCAGTTAGCTATTTTATATTCAAACAAAATATTTAGAAAAATTTAAAAACTGGAAATCGGAAGGAAGTGCTGAAAGAAGAGTTTTTCTTTTCTTCTTCTTCTTCTTCCTTCTCCTCCCCCTCAATGGTTCCAGCAGAGTTATTTCTACCCCTTGAATAACAGGAAGGCAAAATGAAAGCTGGTTATTCATCACTACTTCTATTTTTATTTCAGTTGACCCGGTTTAGAAATAAGAATAAAAATAATTTCTGGCTTATTTTTATAGGCCATACTGTAGTTTTTATGTTGGTTTTAAGTGAACACTGGTTGAGTGGTTAACAATTGTGTTGAATATATTGCTGTTGCATGTATTGGTATTCATGTGATGTTACCACATTGAAATACAGAAATCAATTTTTTAATGTAGTCCTAATTTTAATTCCATCCCTCCATATATATGGCTCTGATAGCAAAATTATGTCAAATGGTAGTGCAAAATAATGATGTTTGGAATGTTATTTATTATAAATTTGTATATTAACCTTGTCTCTGCTATCTTGCTTGGATTTAAAGACTTCTGATGAGAATCTTTCAGTAACTTGCTTTCTCTAAGCATTGCCTATGTATAGTTTTAACAATGTTTAAGATAGTTGTATTCATAAGCTTATATCTTTGATTTGCTGGTATTATTTTATAAATGCCAAGTTCTGCAAAAATAGGTTTATATTAATAATTAATGCTAGTGGCCAGGTGGGTTGGATCATGCCTGTTATCCCAGCACTTTGGGAGGCCGAGGCAGGCGGATTGCCAGAGCTCAGGAATTCGCGACCGACAAGCCTGGGCAACGTGGTGAAACCCCGTCTCTACTAAAATACGAAAAATTAGCCGGGCATAGCGGCGTGCACCTGTAGTCCCAGCTACTCGGGAGGCTGAGGCAGGAGAATTGCTTGAACCCGGGAGGTGGAGGTTGCAGTGAGCTGAGATCACGCCACTGCACTCCAACCTGGACAACAGAGTGAAACTCCGTCTCAATAATAATAATAATAGTAATAATAATAATGCTAGCAACATATTGAGTATAGTTTGAACCATAATTATTTGGTCACATAGGGTCATTTTACACAAACTGTGGAAAAGTATACTTCCATGTGTCATAAAATATAGTTCTTTTTAGGGTGCATCTTCACAATTTCTGTTCAAAAAATAGGGCAGCAAAGGTTGACTTAGGCTATTTTGGGACTATAAATAAGAGCTGGTGCAGAGCTACCAGACTATTGTAAATTCTACTTGAAAATAACTCCTTGAGAGTGAGGCTTGAGTGCTTTTGGTATCTAGCAAATCTCTTTGCTAAATGCCTTCATTTTGATGTTTTAATAATATATGTTTGTTGATTATAGGATGACAGTGATAGGTACAATTTCCATTTATCTGTTTATATTTGAGAATTTAATGATTTATTTCTCTTTATAGCCATTATTAGGAGGTATCTGAGGGACTCAAGAGCACAGAAGGCAGGGCAGAATATTTTCCTGTACTCTGAGTGCTGGAAATGGCTCTGCATAGACTGCTTTAAAATGCAATTACCGACCTTGAATTGACCTCTAACCGCCTTTTTCTGTCCTACCCTTCTCCATCAATCAATTGTTGAGAGGATTTGGGTATTTCCCATTAAGCGTCTGCATTTTTAGACTTACCTGTTCTAACTTGAACATTTATTGTGATGAATCTCATGACTTTCTGCTTGTTACTTCCTTGAAATAAGTCTTCTTTTTATATATTCACTTTGCTGACTTTTATAGAAAACAATAATCCATTTGTGGAAATGATTAATTCAGGTGTGATTAGATTCCATGAGAGCTGGAAACTACTCAAGTCAGAACACAACAGGGAGAACGCCTCCTGGCACTAACAAATATCTGTGCTTCTCATTTGACTGAACCTTATCTAGACCTGATTGCCTTTATTACTAAAATAATGCATGTATTCCTTAAGCATTTTTATTTGTGGTTAGAGTTATTCATTGTTTTCATTTTTTAAACTTGGCATGAAGTCTGGCAGAAGCTGGTTCTGGCTTCCACACTTATTTTTTTGATGATGAAACCACTTAAAAAGTCTAACAGTAATAACAACAGCAACAACTACTACAACAGAAAGCAGTCAGGACGAGACCAGGGAAGGAGTGGTAGATGAGAAAGGTTATGAAGCATTCATGAGTTTATGATGACCCCTTTGCAATTGAATCCTATTGTTAATGACTAAGAACGAGCCCTTTGCCTTCTTCTCTGGACCTGTTTGTCACACAAGCTGGAAAAGAGAAGAGGTAACAATAGAGCAGTACAGACCAAAGAAGCGGAAACAATTATTAAAAGGTAGCAGGACTCTTTCATGAGGTAGCAAATACCACTTCTTTGCTATACTCTATATGTTAGCTTCTATGAAAAGGGCTTCCTATATGTAGACTATAGTCATATTTTAGTCAAAAAGAAAGAATTTTAGGTGTTTCTGAAACTCTTAGCAGTTTTACATACAGATGCTATATGCAAAATATATATATATATCAATGCATTTTTAATTTTAAAATTATTATACTTTTAATTGTTTAAAGCAGGCTATTATGCTCTAAATGTAAGAGCAATGCTCAAAAAATGTCGAGAGTAACCATGTTAGATTTATAGTGTTTACTATTCCACATGTATACCTTATTATATCTAGAATAAATAGAGGTTTAAGAGCTGATTATTGGATAGCTCCTTAAAGGTAGGAAGGTCACATGTTCCTCAGAAAATTGTCATTCATTGCTAAACATAGGATTAGAAAGATTAGAGAGATTTGTTTGTTTATTTGCTTTTTTGTTTGGTTTTGGCCAAAGGAAAATATGTAACTAACATGCACATTGTGCACATGTACCCTAAAACTTAAAGTATAATAAAAAAAAACTGCAAAAAAAAAAAAAAAGGAAAATAACATTAAACAGAAAACAAATGTTTTGCATGAGGTTTTAAGAAGTGAAATTTCTCTGCCAGGTGCGGTGGCTCAGGCCTGTAATCCCGGCACTTTGGGAGGCTGAGCCAGGCGGATCACCTGAGGTCAGGAGTTCAAGACCAGCCTGGCCAACATGGTGAAACTCTGTCTCTACTAAAAATACAAAAATTAGCTGGGTGTGGTGGCAGGCACCTGTAATCCCAGCTACTTGGGAGGCTGAGGCAGGAGAATTGCTTGAACCTGGGAGCTGGAGGTTGCAGAGATCTTGCCACTGCACTCCGCCCTGGGCACCAGAGCAAAAGTCCATCTCAAAAAAAAAAAGAAGTGAATGGCTCCACCATTTACCCTTTGAAAGATTCTTTTGTTGAAAAACTGCATAGAAAGAATAAATTATGAGAATATAATGATTTATAAACATTTCAATATGAACTGTTATAGGAGACTTGCGAAAGGTATGAGTTTTTTTTTTTTTTTAAATCCAAGAAACTGGTGTGTAGGAATGGTCTGCAGAGGCATGCTGAGATAATACAGTGTTAGTCATTAAATACAAAGCATTACTAGCCATCAATTTTTAATTCATTCTCAATATTTATAGTAAAATTATGGTTTATTATATTTAAAATGGTCTGCAAGTGAAAAAAAGTTTTCCTGTGTAAAATTCTTTAACACTCTTTGCTTACACACATTATTGTCTTTCATTTCTACCTCCTATTTCCTGGTAAACTATAAAAGATATATCAAAGAAAATCCCTTAGACATATTACATGTGTTTAGAAGACTTAAATTAAGTAGGCTTTATGTGCTAATATTTATAATTATTTAAAATGTCATAATCATATTAAATCAAGGTATTTATATGTGTGTGTATGTGTGTATATACATATGAGTAATTTCCCGAAATTTTAACTTGTCATTACACAGAGAACATCACTGTGACTTACTGTTTTGATGTGTAGGGTTTAAAAATGCATTAAAAGTCTAGGGACTATTTCAAAGTAATATTCTACTTTGATCCTATCAGTCCTTAGTGTCATTTAATTTAGTTTGGACAGAAACAACACTTGTCATGTTTTAGAACTCATGGATTTTTGCTGTTTACTATCTTTACTGCAGTCATTTTGTATATTAAAAATGTTTAGAATTCAGTTTAGAATTCAGGTTTCTTTGGGGTGAAAGTGCGAAACAAAAGACCAACTCATCTAAGTGACACCTGTTATAATTGAGCAAGGCCTAATCTCACTGAGGTCCTCAGAAATGGACCAACTATACTCTTGCCTGACTGACTCCTCATCCAAATCTATCAAGTTAAAAGTTGTCATAGATAAAAAAGAAAATAGTCCTTAGAAACTCTGTCTTCTATTCCATAAAATGTCTCGATACTACTTAGCACTTATACTTGGTGATATCTCTCAATTTTTACGTGTCTTTTTAGGTTTGATAGTAACAAATGAACCTCTTTTTCAAACCGGTACATTTTGTTAAGTACAGTAGGATTTCAGCAAGGGTCTCTAAGGGACTCAAAATACTAACGTGGTGACATGATCAAGGAGTAGTTTCAGATGTACTTTATTCAACTGTTTATTGGATTGATTTTATCCTTCAGCTAGAGACCACTAAGATTTGTGTTTTTGCTTACATTTCTTTAGGTGATATTTTGTGATTACCACCTTATTAAAGTAACTCAGTAGATATTTGGTTATTGTTCAGGCTATAAAACCTAAAGAAATTTTTCTTTCATTAGTGGTATGTTTCTCCTTTCTTCCTGTGAATACACAAATGGCAAAGGCCAGAGTGTGAAGTATGTGCTTCATGCAGTATTTGGATCAAGAATATTCTCTTTTTCCAAGCAGATGGATTTTAATGTTTGTTTGTTTTTGAAGTATCACCTTTTGTTAGTTATTTTATGATTTTCAAATATCTAGTGACAATTCATCTAATTTTCCCACATTGGCCTATACCACTGAACGTGTAAAATAAAAAGAAATTCATCAATCATTGTTCCATTAAGTTTCTCCATGAGAAAAGTTCCTTTAAAAGATTTTAATGGCTGGTGTGGATCAGATCAGTAGACACTGTTCTTTGACACTCATTCTACGTCTCATAGGTGTCCATGCAGCCTATCTGGGCATTTTATCTGGATATACTTTTACATAATTGGGCCTCACTAGATTTTTATCAAAGGTAATTTATATCATAATGTTCCTCAGACAGGTCAACGAAATTCCTTAGTACAAATAATTCTAGGATGTACTAACTTTTGTGTGTCTAGAGGATCAGTTTTTACCTATGAAACAAATGTAGTTATCCGGATGTCTATTAGGAGTCTCTTTGTCTCTCTCTGTTTCTGTCTCTCCCTCTCTCTCACTCTTTCCTGGCCTGAATGAACCTTGTAATAAAAAATAGTAAATGTATTTCACACATTAGATACTAGAAATTTTACAAGGATATAATGAGAAAATTATTTTAATAATGAGTTGTCTTGAAATTCCTTATGGTTTCCTTGCAATTATAAAGTGTTAGCCTAGACATATACTAGAAAGATAAGGTTCTTTTCCACAATTATATGTGTTTAATTTGTATTTAATAGTATGCTGAATTAATTTTCTATATTTAGTACCCCCCAAATGGTATTGAGATTTAATTGTAGAAGTTTTAGAAACAAATATCTAAATGGGACTTGTTTTAATTGCTCTGAAGTTCTTTTTACCTGGAATCTCCACATATAGTTTGATTGCATGATCATGATTTCAATAAAAAATTTTTATTATTAAAATTAAATATTGTAATAAAATATTTACTAAAAATTAAAAAAATTTATGTTAAAATAGTTTTTAATAGCTTTAGTTTTATTAAAAATTAAAAATAAAACTGAATTTCAGCTTCAAAATTATAATATCACAGCATCTGTAGTTGCATTACAGTAATACTAGGTACTTCCTAAGCAATTTAGAATTAATATGTTTCACTAAATTCTTACAACAAAGTAACAAGATAAATAGAGGGCAGCAGCTTTGTTTGCATTACAAATGTTCTTTCTTGGTAATTGAAGCTGCAAAAAGCTAAATATCAAGCATAATGTATGTTTCTCCTCCAATGCAGGATTTTGTTCTATTCATATTGCCATTTATCTTTGTTTACATTTCTATCTTCTCTACAAGGCAGTAGGCTCTTAAAGGCAGAAAATATTATCTCTCTTTTCTTAACATCTAGCACAGTATTTGGTACATTGAATGTACTCAATAAGGTTTTCTGAGAATGATTCATAAGCTAGGAAAATATTTGCTCCACATTATATTATGATGGCTGTTAGTTTAACCATAATTTTAATGGGCTGTAATTTTAACTAATTTATGAGATATTCAAAAGTTTGGGTAAACTGACATCTCTAATTTTTTAATATTGTATATTATCTTATATACTATAGGTGAGAATGGCATTATTCCTGCCTTCTTGTAATATTTCCAGCTATCACTAGATGGCAGGGAGGCTGTCCGCAGGGACATAAAATTGGAACCTTAACAATTGTCCAAGTGAGTAGCAATAAAGATCAGAAATAGCATGGTGGAGATGAAATTTTGAAGGTAATAGACTAGTAAAACAGACAGAGGGAAGGGAGAGGGAGACAGAGAGAGACAGAGAGACAGAAAGAGAAACCATTTTGCAACTGATTTGATGTTGAAGGTAAAAGGAAGGAAGGAGTCAAGCAATTATGGATTCCCAAGTCTGGATAATGGAAAATTATAATGTCCTGATCAGGGAAAGCAGAGAATGGCTACATAGATAAGAGCTGATTCATTAGTTTGAATAAGTTTGACTGTGAGGCATCAGCAAGTGGAAACATGTATAGATACAGAGGAATACTGGAAGCTTTGGCATTCAGGAGATATAAGATCTGGATATCATATCTGAGACTTATAAAATGCTGTAGCTGAACGAAACTGGTACAAATCTTAATTTGGTAGCTGAATAAGGTGACTCCCAGAAAAATGAGGTAATATGGCCAAGGTCTCAGAGATAATGGCAAAGTCAAGACTGGAATCATTATCTCTTTTCTCAATTCATTTTTCCCCAATTTCTTACATACAATTGAAGACATAGGAATGTAAATACAAAACTTTTGGTGACGAGTGTGGTAAAAGAAGGGGCCATAGGACTAATTCATCCTATTTTAGATGCAAAAGGAAGAAAAATAACATGAGAAATTTTGGATAATATTATTTTTTAAATAAAAAAGGACTTTTTTATTCTAATTTTGTTAGGTTTTGGCAGTTGTATAAAGTGTTATCTTTAAGTAGTCAAGTTTTTATTCTAAAATATGTGTTCTTCATAAAATACTTAAGTGGTTTTCATGTTGAAATTCTCATACATGCATACATCTCACACATTTTCTCATACATTTTTCTTATGAAGCATTGTTGCTAGAAATAACAACAGAATCACAACAACAAAATCATTATCATGTAACTATTATAAGAATCTAGGGAGCAATGATAAATAATTGTTTTTTAGAAAATGTTTCTTCAATTTACATTAAGCTATTATTTTAACAAACAAAATATAAATTAAACTTAAAATAAGAAATTTGAATAACATAACCTGTTTGAATCACATATTCAGCAGAGAATAAGTGAATTATCTTCCATGTAAAAAATATTCAATGTTTTATAGCTCTCCTCCTACATTTCAGATAGATCTTAAGCAGAATTGTACTCTAAAGTCAGATATATGTAATTATTGATGAGGTTCTTTGAAGAGTATTTTCTTTAATCATTCATCTTCCAACAACATGACCAAATAAAGATCAGTATATTGTTTGTGTATTTATTTGAAAGTTCATTCAAAAGGAGAAAAAATATATATCCTTCTAACTTTTGTTCTTCCCCACTCTCACCCACGGAAAGCTTCTTTTCATTAGTAGTAATGGAAAGATTCATGATGTATTATTAGTGACAGCATTTGATTATTGTCTAATTAAAAAGCACTGTGCTCCCATCTGCCTGACTGGAGAGGGAATGACAGAGAAAGAGAGGGTGAGGGAGAAGAACAGAGATATTGAGATTAAAATAATGAATAGGTGTTGTGAAATGTGGCAATGTTTTATTACTTGAAGAGTGAGCCACTTAGAAGCAGTTACCAAATCTCTTTCCAAACTGATAGATGATTTCAAGTGCAATGAATACATTCATTTTAATGTTTAAAAGGTCTCTCAATCTAACAACCATTATATGGAAAGAAAATAGTACCGCATATAAGAAGATATAACTATTGTCACATTTAAGAAATACTTTAAAACAGTTTTAGTAGTTTCATGAAATATCTAGAAAACACATATTCATAGAGGCAGAAAGTAGATTAGAGGTGACAAAGGGCTGGGAGAAGAGAGGAATAGGGAGTTACTGCCTAAAGGTCACAAAGTCTGTGTTTAGGGTGATGGAAAAGATTTGAAAACAGATAGTGGTGAGGGCTGCACAACAGTGTGAATATAATTAACACCATTGAATTATACACTTAAACTGGTTAAAATGGCATATTTCATGTTACATGTATTTTATCACAATAAAAACTTTTCAAATCCAAAAAAAAAAATAGAAAAAGAAAATTAAATTAAAACATAAATATCAGCAATAATGATACTTACATTTGTCCACTGGAGTCATTTAAGAGATGAGTAGAATGGTGATAAATAATATTAGACTTTATTAAAGAAGTTGAGTTTGAGCAATTAATAAGGAAGTAGACAGAAAGCTGGAGCTCCATGTTGAAATGGCTGAGTCCACAACAACTCCAAAATCCTGTTTTCTGGTCTCATTCCATCATCATTTATTTGGATCAGTTTCTGTTGTCACTGTTTAGTGTGTGTTTTAGTTGTCCATTTCTGTGTAACAAATTACTGTGTAAAAATACCACAAAATGCTGGGTGCAGTGGCTCACGCCTGTAATCCCAGCACTCTGGGAGGCCGAGGCGGGCGGATCACAAGGTCAGGAGATGGAGACTATCCTGGCTAACATGGTGAAACCCCGTCTCTACTAAAAATACAAAAAAATTAGCCGGACACGGTGGCAGCACCTGTAGTCGCAGCTACTCGGGAGGCTGAGGCAGGAGAATGGCGTGAACCCGGGAGGCAGAGCTTGCACTGAGCTGAGATCACGCCACTGCACTCTAGCCTGGGTGACAGAGCGAGACTTGGTCTCCAAAAAAAAAAAAAAAACCACAAAACGTAGAAGAGCAAGCATTTATTACTTTCCCCAGTTATTGAGAATCAAGAATGTCGGAAGAAGGTTGTTCTTGCTCTAGGTCCCTCGTGAGGTTGCAGTCAAGCTGTTGGTCTTGGCTGTAGTCTCTGAAAATTACTTGGAGCTAGAGGTTCTACTTCCAGACTCACTGACATTACTGTTGGCACAAGGCTTCATTCCTCACCACATGGGATTCTCTGTAGAGTTTTTTCCAATATGGCTTTTCCCAGAGAGAGAAATTGAAGTGAGAGAGCACGTGCATGAGAGAGTGTGAGCCCAAGATGGAAGCCACAGTCTTTCTATAACCTAATCTCAGAAGTGATATCCCATCATATCTTCTATAACCAATTCTTAGAAGTGAGTCATTAAGTTCAGTCCACACTCAAGAAGGCAATCAAGCTTCACCTCTTGAGGGAAGAAGTATCAAAGAATTGGTCAGCATATCTTTAAAACCACCACAGGGCTCGAAGGTGTACTTTTCCCTCCTCCCTCATGGGTTCTTTTCACTTCCATTATTGTTTTATATCATCAGTCTTTGTGTGTGTGTGTGTGTGTGTGTGTGTGGGCGGGGGGGTGGGGTGGGGGAGGTGGAGAATCTTTAGAGTATGTTGTGAAGAGCCAAGAATATAAAGAGTGACATTTATGATCATGTGTATTTATATATTGAGATATTTATTAAAAACTTACTATGTCCTAGGCACTGAACTAAGCACTTTACATTCATTATCTTTCTCTGCACAACAATCCTGTAAAATAAATGTTAATATTCCTGTTTTAGAATACGTGTGTATATGTAAAAGTACATGTATAACTTGACTTTAAAACTTAAAATTTATGTGAAATTTCAAAGGTAATTCTTTTTAAAACTTTAAGTTTTAAAGCACTTGTCAATACAGACTGAATATATTCAAGGTATACAACATGATGATTTGATATTTGTATACATTACGTAATTATTACCACAATCAAATTACAGTTGACTCTAGAACAACACAGGTTTGAACCCATGGGTTCACTTATGAGTGGATTTTTTTCAACCAAATGAATCAATGATACAGTATTCACAGGATGCAAAACCTGCATATTATACGCCAGTTCTGCAGGCCCAACTGTGGGACTTGAGTCAAAGTGGATTTTTTTTGTATGGGAGTGAAGGATGCAGGAACCCATCTGCCATGTATATTCAGAGACAACTGTCATTAACATATGTATTACCACCCATAATATGCATTAGTTCTCCAGAACTTGTTTCTCTTACGATTGAAATTTTGTGCCATTTGATCAAAATCTCCCCATTTCCCACACCCCCTAACCCGTGGTAACCACCATTCTACTCTCTGCTTCTATGAGTTTAATTTTTAAATTCCACATATAAGTGAGATCATATAATACTTGTCTTTCTTTGCACTGAATAATGTTTCACTGTGTATGTGTGTGTATTATGTATATAGTCACAATTTCTTTATCCAGTCATCCATCAGTAAATACTTTGGTTGTTTCCATGTCTTGGCTATTGTGAATAATGCTGCAATGAACATGGGAGTATAGAGATCTCTTCAAAATACAGGTTTCATTTCCTTTGAATATATACCCAGAAGTGGAATTGCTGTATTATGTGGTAGTTCTATTTTTAATTTTTTGAGGAAGCTCCATACTGTTTTCCATAATAGCTGTACTAATTTACATTCCTACAGTGTACAAGGGCTCTGTTTTCTTTATGCCCTTACCAAAACATATGTCTTGTCTTCTTATAACAGCTATTCTAACAGGTATGAAATGATATCTTATTCGTAATTTTGATTTGCATTTTCCTGATGATTAGTGATATTGAGAACCTTTTCACATACCTGTTGGTCATTCGTATGTCTTCTTTGGAAGAATATCTACTCAGGTCCTTTGCTGAGTAGATTTTTTAATTGGATTATCTGGGGGGTTTTTTGTTTGTTTTGTTTTTGTTATTTTGTTGTGTGAGTTCCGTATATATTTTGGATATTAATCCCTTATAAAATATGTGGTTTGCAAATAAGCTTGTAATTATTAAAGAATAAACATTTTATTAAAAATAAGTGCTTTTCTCTGCTTACCTTTTACTATGATCTAACTATGATACTTTCAATATGCTGCAGACTCTCATTCTTATCTTTCTTTTGTTGTTACCTTGTTACCTAGAACTCTTATGTTTCAGCCTAATTTCTTCATCTGCAAAGACCTAATAGGAAGAAATTTTTACTTTGGTTTAGTGTGTATAAAATCTGGGAACAGCTAAATTTCAGTTTTAATATAAAATTTTGACTTTTATATATTACCCAATATTGTTAAAAGGAGAATTCTTATGTATACCTATCTCTTAAAAATATTGCTTCTTATTATATTACCCGCTTAAAACAACAACAGCAACAACAAAAACTTAGAAGGTAAACAAAACCTTGGTTTCAGATATGCACAGAAAGTATGTAAGCTGTACCCCAGAAGCATTCCTTATAAATTTTGCATGTCAGTTTCTCTGACCTTTCTTTACACAGGAGGGATTTGTTGTATCAATCTTTAATCTAAGTGTGATACACCAACTTCCTATTGAATTGCCTTAGAGCAGAAGAAAAGGTATAAAGATGATGCATCTTACTTAGAAATGAAAATATAACAAAACAAGTCATGTTAAACAAGGAAAGATATGGATCTTTAATCACGAACCCAAACCAAGTTGGTGGCTGAACAGAGAAGAACTGTGGGAGCCAGGCCAGTTGGCATGACAGTATGTGTTCAGCTGGTGTGGAGTAAGCCCCTGGACTGAGGGTGTTCAGTGTGGCTTCAGCCAGGGGATTCAGTGGTGAAGAACCCTCTTGCTACTGTACTCTTTGTCTTTATTACAATACTAGTCAAGAAAAAATTCTTTCTAAAAAGGAAAAAAAAGTAAAGTCCCTGCTTTGAAACTTATTTTGAGGAGTCTCTCAAGCAATCAACTGAATTAATATGGATGAATAAATATTTCAGAGAAAGTCTCTGAAATATGGATAAAATTAATAGTGGGAAGACAAAGGAGGAAGCTCCTAACTAGGAAATCCAGTCTCTGTACTACCCCTTTTCATGTGTAATCTCATTAATCCTTACAGCATCTCAATGATGTGATTGTTAATACAGATTGAGTATCCCTTATCTGAAATGCTTGGGACCAGAAGTCTTTCAGATTTCAGATTTTTAAAATTTTGGAATATCTGCATATACATAATGAGATATCTTGGGGATGGGACCCAAGTCTAAATATGGAATTAATTTGTTTCATATATACCTTATACAGATAGCATGAAGATAATTTTATATGATATTTTTAATAATTTTGTGCATAAAGAAAAGTTTGTATTAAGTACTTATGTGTGAAATTTTTCACTTGCAGTGTCATGTCAGCACTAAACATTTTGGGATTTTGGAACATTTCAAATTTTGGATTTTCAGGTTGAGGATATTTAATCTGTGTTGTTATTTTACAGTACAGAAAATGTAGGTACAGAATACTTGTTTATCTCATATGTGAAGAACAGCGCTCCATCTCACATTTTATGTCTAAGGCCCGTATTATTTTTATTTTTCCTTCTGCCCCATTGAACATTCCTCAGAGCTGATTTTAGTGAGATATCTTGACAGAACATGTTGCAAAACTGAAAATGTACATTATTCATTTCTCAACATAATTTAAGTTCAATGGCTATTTCAATAATCTAAACCCACCAGAAGTCTAACATAATTAAAGGTATAGGTCTCGCATACAAAAAGGAAAATATGAAAAGTCTCCTAAAGTTAACTTTCTGGGAAATAAAAATGAATTAAAATTGAGTGTGAAAATACAGATGGACAAAGTCCTAGTATCTTTTGAACTGAGCCCTTTTCTTCAACTTGTATTTATAGATGTGTGTTCATGCAGGTGTACATGTATGTGTATAATGGTTTCTTCTATGAGCACATATTTCAAGTCCTATTACAGAGTTGCAGAAACAAAATGAACATAAAAATGGAGAAAATGGTATGGATAGACATACCAGATAAAAAGCTGAGACAGTGAGAATTTAACATAATCAATACAATAAATGTTCAAATCAATACAAAGGTAGCAAGTCAGACCTGAATTGATAAGTTTTGAGCAGTGATTTTTAAAGGGTTTAAAAAGTTTCAAAAATTAACTTCTTGATTGACTTCTGTAGAGCTGGAAGTCATTGGGTTAGCAATAACTTTTCATAGAAAAGCATATGTAAGAACTAGAGCATTGTGTTTATTCACAAGAATTGAAACACATGAAAGGATTAGAGAGCTTCAGAAGAAAATGTAAGTGCTAAAGCAACATTCCCTTTACTAGTCCTGTCCCAGAAACATGGATGAATACAGCAGGCAGAATACAATTAAGGAAAGATGATCATCTATGAGAGTCTACTGAAAACATGATGTAAAACCAACCACAAGAAGATAATCAAATTAACGTTTGTTCCCCATTGTTAAAGAACGTCTCATGACCAGATTTCATCACAGCTACTGACCTAACTGTTTTTGACACGATTCACTTATAACTACAGCTGTTCTGACTTCCATGTATTTGTTCATTTAGCTGGGGCACAGGAAAGACAAATGAAAGCTTTCCTGTTTTTTATTTTTCTTCTTTTGTATAATGGAAATAATTGCAAGTGTTATTTATTTCTGGCCAAATTTATCTCTTTCCTCATTGTATCTGCATATTTATCTAAAATAATGTATTATGCTTTAAAACAAAGTTTATTTGAAAAAGAATTTTTATGAGACAGGAGAGAAGTTCAGTTCTCTTTTTGGAATCTTCAACAGATAGTTTAAAGCCTGGGGAGTACTTGCTTTTTTTTTTTTTTTTTACATTTTGAGCTGCATTTTTGGAAAGTGTTCTCTTGAGAACACTCAAACCAAATGGAAAAAAAAACTCCCCCACAAAATTGTATGTTTAGTTTACTTAGAATATTGGGAACTTCGAGAGTTTTTATTTAAGTGACTATTTACATATTTAATACAATTAAGAAAAAATTATTTAGGAAAAAAGCCATACAAAGTGGGAGAATAACTATAGCAAGGAAATTATGTAGAAAAAGCCTTATAGAAATTAAGCAGAAGAATTTTAAAAGAGCAAATATGGAAGAACATACTGAGCTGACTGTGGCTACAAGAAGCCTACTCCCCATGGAAGGAGAGAGCCATCAACAAGTTTTTAAACACTTGATGAAGTATATGCCTCTGAAAATTGGAAGACTGAAAGACTAAAAATTATTCCTTTCCACTTAGTCTCTCTTTTTTTTTTTTTTTGGAACCCAAGCTTTGCAAAGATGGTTAGCCTGAGGTAATGTACACAAAACGATTCCAGTGAAGGAAATGAAATGTCTGAGATGCTGGAAAGGGCAAGGCAATAGTATTCTATGTTTCCAACAGAATCCATCTCCCACCATTAGAAGTTATTGTTCCCTTTGGAGAAAAATGTGACTATTAAAGGGAGTATTATTTAGAAATTATAGTTATTATTCTTTTCCAATTATTTTCACATCTCTCGGAGAGAGCATGAATGTCCACTATGTTCTAAGAAAGACAGATGAACTCATGATTTTCTTATTGCACCCGCCAATATTTATTGAGTTTCAGTGCCCTGAGAATCTGTCTGTCCTTTCAGAGACACATTAATAGGTGGTCTGCCTCCATTTCTAACTTTTGTCCCCATCCTGTGGAATATTGGCAGTTTTATGTTTATGAAGCAGAACTGTGATGGAATAATAATAACAAGGTACCCTTTGATGAACATCTGTTATTTCCAGGCCCTATGCTAGTGTTTTATGAACACCATTTTCTTTAATCCTAACAGCAACTATGTGTGGTGAGATGCTGTGTTCATTATGAGCTGATACTCACACCATGTTGCATCCTCAAAGAGAATCCGAAATCCATAGCCTGCCATTTAAAGTGTTCCCTGCTTTGTCCTATCTGTTGTTTTATTAATTTCTACCCTTTTGTTTCCTGTGTTGCATTTTGTCAGACTAGTCTATTCATTCTTCCTGCAGTATATGACCTGTTTCCATATTCATATTTCTTCTTTTTGTTCCCATGATATTGTACATCATCTCTCAAAATATAATTACTTTACTAAACCTTTCATGAGCTCTCTTATGGTATATTTAAGTGTTTATTTTCCTGTGGTTATTGTGTCTTTGTCCCATAATTTGTATCTTTATCTCATAGCCCCAGAAATTGTTTCACAGAAAGGAAACTTTTTCAGAAAGCACATTTATTCACTTTTATATAGAGGTGAATTCAACTTACCATTCTCATTGTAGGAGCTTGCCCATGGAAGGGCCTTAATAGGTTTTCATTGAATTAGAGCCTACTGTCTTCAAATACTTTATATTTTCTCAATAAGTCAAATGTTACACAGTATAATAAAATAATCAAATATCCACAGTTTAAGAGGATATTTATCAGTGCAAAATTGAGGTAGATGTTTAAGAACTTTTAATGAGAGGAACATCACAATAACCTGTGGCCTGAGACAACCTCAAGGTAGGGACAGAACTTGAAGTCAGCCTAAAAGATAAATCAAATTTGAATAGATACAGAATGGTGGCATTTCAAATGCCAGAAAAAGGGCAATAGGAGAAGTAATTTATATACAGAGCCTCTTCCCCTAATGGGGTTACATCCTGATAAATACATCATGAGTTGAAAGTATCCTAAGTCAAAAATGTCTTTAATACACCTAAACTGCTAAACATCATAGTTTAGCCTAGCCTTCCTTGCCTAAACACTCAGAAAACTTGCACCAGCCTAGAATTGGGCAAAATCCTCTAACACAAAGCTTATTTTAAAAAAGTTGAATATCACATGTAATTTATTGAATATTGTACTAAAAGTAAAAAGCAGAAGGGTTGTATGGGTATTTGAAATATGGCTTCTATTGAATGCATATGGCACCATTGTTAAGTCAAAAATCACAAGTCAGACATCATAAAACAGGGACCTTCTATATTTTCAGGAATTAACAAAAGAGCAGATTTGAGTTCCAATGTGAAGAACTTGGATTTAGCTTCATGGGTAATGGGCACTATTCCAGGTTCTTAATTTACATGGGAAGACAATGCAGTAGTAATTATAAGAAGAAGCTTTAACATCAGATACCTGGATCTAACTTAGTATTTATTTTATTCAATTTCTTCCAAGGAATTTATACCAAGAAAGCTTCCTTGGTAATTATTTTACTTAGTTTCTTCCTCTCAAAAATGGAAATAAAATTTTACCTAGATTGTTACAAGGCTTAGATAACAAAATACATAAGTTAGAGCAGAATCTGGCAAATGACGCTGAAATATAATATGAAGAAAATATAAGCCTCCATTAGGAATTTAGGAATATTAATATAGCAGTTATATATGTGAAAATTTGGAAATAGTAATTTTAGTCAGAAAATCCAATTGAATATTAGAAAGTCAATGCAATCATATAGAATTATGGTACATAGTTCTTAAGAAGAGTGCTGGGAAAATAAAAATGAAAGGAATTGTGTGATGGGTATCACAATAAAACTACCAACAGGATTAGTTATGGTGAATGGAGGAGATGGGAAGTGCCAAGGAAATACAAAGTTTTGAATTTGCACAACAGAAAACATGATAATACACAGATTTAAACAGAGAAGTAGAAGTTGAATTTAAGACAGTTGATGTTAAATAGGGTGGTATTGAATCTGGTACCTGCCTCACACATAGAAGTCACTCAATGAATGTCTGCTGTTGATGAGCAGAACAAGTGGGGTCTTATGCCAGGTATTGGCAGAGCTGTTTTTGCTTTTATTTAAGTAATCTACTTAGATATTATTTTTACCCAACTTAGTAATATCACTATGAAAGAAAATGAAGAAAATGCATATAAACACTGATTTTTATCATGTTCAATGAAGAATTCTTGTTCAGATTCAAATGATTAGCTCCTTCCCTTTTATTATGGGCTTAGATATGATTTCCCTTTTATCTAGAGAAACATTGACTGTTATAGTTCAAGATATTTTAATTTTACCTATGATTTAGCACATTGGTGAAAAGAAATGTTACTTCTTAGCAGGAGCATTGATTCTTCATAATTCTATAATGACCCCAGTTAGGTGAGAACCTTGAGTTCAGATCCAATTGTAGATAACAATTATTTGTATATTATAAGGTTTTCATTAAGACAGCCTTCCAGGAGGACCTGTGATCAACTCCATGAAATAAAATCCATATTTAACATATCCAAACATACTTCTTAAAGCCTGCTGCACATTTTTCTTTGCTACTAACCTTATACCAATTGGATCTTAGTCCCCAATGTCATATACATTCTGATAACCTGAATAAGGCAATGGGACTTCTTCTTCCTTTTCTTTGCTATCAAATTAAAAATCCTAAAAGGTTTGAAATACATGACCTTGATGCCAAAATGGCCTCAGGTTCTCAGGAATAGGATTGAGCTAAGTCATTTCGTATGTATTCAAAGTCCCCTGAAAGCCAGAGTCAACCCAAATGGTTAGGGAGTGAATCCTGAGTTGATTCAGAACTATACTTAGCTTTAAAGCTAATGGCTTATGACTGTGTCTAGTTGAGGAGTCATGTAGGGTAATACAATTCACAGTTTAACTGTAAAGGCAGAAAGGATCCTATTTTTTTTAGCAAGGAAATAAACTTACCTATACTAGAAAGGGAGTTGAAAGTTACATATATGGTAAGCAAAAGTAGTTAACCAGTCCACTTGTGATAGAAAGAATTTTTAAGGTGGTCCCTAAGATTCTCTCCCTTGTACACATGCCTTTTGTAATCTTTTCCCTTTGAATGCAAGCTGGACTTGTGAATAAGATGTGTTGTCACTCTTTTGATTTTATTATGTTATGTGGCAAAACATGTTTGGCAGATGTAATAATAAATCCCCTAGTTAGTGGACTTTAAAGATTATCCAAACCTAATCAGGTAGACCTTTAATAAAGACAAAGAACAGGAGCAGTGAGCAAGAAACTGTTCATAAGCTGGCCTTTAAAAAGCAAATTCCCATGTTGTAGAGAGACCCACATGGCAGGGAATAGCAAGAGGACTCTAATGAAAAACTGGATTCTGCCAACAAGTTGAATGGGGGAAAAGGACCCAAGCTGTAAACGAGAACATAGCTCAGCCAACACTTTGATTTCAACCTTATGAGACCCAGAGCAGAGAACTCAGTTATGTTGTTCCTAAACTTTTGGCCACCAGAAACAGGATGAAAAATTTTTGTTGTTTCAAGCCACTAAATGATAATTTTTTACACACCACTAGAAACTAATACACAACCCATATATCTGTTGTGCCCAATAATCTATATGGGGGCAGAAAAGACTTCTGGGAAATTAATTAAAACCTTACAGTGTTGATGTTTAGACATATTCTGGTATATCTACCAAACTTTATGGACGAGTAGTTTGTGACTGATAGCAGTGATGGAAAGCAAACTGTCAGGATGTATTACATCACCCATCAGAAAGTAATAATCTTTTAAAATAATATCATCATTGTGGAGCTGGATTCAGCAACTGTGGCTAACAAGGAAAAGAGAGCAGTGCTTCAGTGCACTATTTTTTGAAACTGTCTAGAACCAGGCTGTAGCCACCCCACCCTATGGACCACCACCACCAGTGACTTTTATACACCTAAGAGAAGCCACTGCTTGAGTAAAATCGAAGGAATTGACCCTTGGTGTGCCTTATGTTCCAATAGTGCTAAGAAAGTTAAATTTAGAGGGTTGGGTAAGTTCCCCACTGACATCAGAGAAGAGATAATGTAGTAGTGGAAGGTACAGTGGTGAGGTCATCAAACTGAGAGAAGTGCTGAGCAGCAGCTGGAAGCAGAGGGACAGCCCTATGAGCAGCAGTCTGGGGCAGGTCTCTAGCCCTTGTCTGGTGGCAGCTGCAGCAGACAGTAATCAATAATGAGCAGCAAGGTCAGGTGGCATTTTTGGCAGAGCAGCTGGCAATTACTTGGAGCTACATGGCAGTTGAAAAACAGCAGCCTCAGCACCAAGGCAGAGCCAAGCAGGAGTAACATCCTGATTTGATTCCAGGAAGCATGTAGGACACCTAATAGAGAGTGTGTTGGGAGTGTTATTTAAAAGGAAGCTCAGGTCTGACCATTTCACCAATGAGGGCTCACAGACTTATCTAATTTGGGTTTGGATTTTGAAGGGGACATTTGTTACCTGCTGTCTCTGCAGTCTGGAATTACTGGGTTCTGCTAGATCAAAAATAACTTTGCCAGGGAAGTTTATCTATGCAGCTATTTTCTTGCCATAGGAAACATAATTTAAACTGCAGAAAATGAATGTTGCAACTCTCTAGAAGCCACGGAAATCATTAGACTGTTTTTGTTTCTCCTCAGTGTATTCCACTCAAAAAATGCTACAGTCATCTTAACCTTGCACTACAAACTACTTCAGACTCAGCACACTTCTAAAGGACTTAAATGTTCCTTAATTCCTTTCATGTTATTACATGGTTTTCTGTATGTCTTTCCATTCTGCTCTTTTCTACTTTCCATCTAATTGGGAAACCTTGGTTGCTCTCTCCTTCACTGATTTCTACCTGACCTCCCTGCAAGATTTCCATCTTGGTACTTCTTTCAGATGGCATAGCTCTTCACCTCTTAACCACCAAGCTGAATGGATCCCATGATTTGGTACTTAGATTTATGGCTTCTGTCAAGTTCTTTGTCAATAATGCATGGAGATTGGTTAAATAAATTTCTGTCATGACTGTATTTTAGGCTTTCTCTTATTTTTTGTCAAAAATAATTTATAGTCACTCTTGTCTATATTAGGATGAAAGTTTTCATGATTTTTATTTTTGTGATCTACGTATTTTTATCTTTTAAAGCCAGGAATTCCATAGTGATAAATGTGTTTTAGCCAAACCTTTCCTTTATTAGTTGATCTCACCTTATTTTTCATTTTTATATATATATATATATATATATTTTAAAGGTGTATATATAAAATATATATTATATATAATATATAAATATAATATATATATATATTTGATTTTATACACCTAAGAGAAGTGACTGCTTGAGTAGAATTGAAAGAATTGACCCTCGGTGCACCGTATGTTCCACAAGTGCTAAGAAAATTTAACTTAGAGGATTGGGTAAGTTTCCTACTGACATCAGAGAAGAGAGAATGTGGTGGTATAGTATATAGTATATACTATATCTCATATATAGTATGTATGTACATTATTTTCTCAATTTTAAAGATGCTGTAGCTTATAAAACTATTGGTGATTGTGCTTCTGACAAGAATAAATGTAAGAAGGAATTTTAGTTCCTTCTAATCTGAGATCATTTATAGTTTGCATTCCTTTTAAGGAGGGGGGAGAGGACTGCCATTTATTAAGGAAGGAATAGTAATTTTGCTCAAATGAATATTGTCATTGCTTATGTTGAATAATGCTTTTATAAATGCTGACTTGTCATTATTCCTGTTGTGTAATATCCAGGTAAGTCCCTTGCTTCCTGCGTGGAGGTAACATTGCATAGTTGTTAAGAGGGTGAGCTGTGGAGTCGATTGCCTAGGTTCAATTACACACCGACGTTATGAACTTGAGCGTGTAATATAAATCCCCTTCCCCCATCTCTCAGATTCCTTACCTAAAAAATGGGAAATAATAGAGTAGCTGTGAGGAGGATTAAATGAGTTAATTTAGGCAATATTCTTAGAACAGAACCTGAAAGATTAAGTGTTTGATAAATATTAGCAATTATTATTGAGGTATATATATATTTAATTGATCTGTATTGATATATGGTAGTTATATTGCATAACAATTTATAGAATTTTACTGTTGTCTATAGTTTAATGTTATATTGATGTCAGACTGTATGTTAGAGAAGTGCCTCAGATTCTTTTATGGTTTTTGTCTTCTAAAAGGATGTAATACTTTTTGAGAAATTGTCAGCTCTATGTACCATTAAAGTGGTTCAAAATGTACTGCACTTTGACTTTTAACTGCAGAAAAATTGGCAGAGGATGCTGTTTCATTTGAGGTTACTTGCAGCAAATGATTCTCAATTCACTATTAAATGCCTAAGTCCTCAGTAGAGCATCTGAGGCAAACTGTCCTGATTTCAAACTACTCTGTGAGAATATTATTCCAAATAATGAACTGAAATATGTATTTTTACAACTTCTACCTATAGTTATGTATTCTGTAGCCACATGAAATAGGCCTGAGCCTTAAATACATGTGAAAGCTTTTAAAAGACCCTACCAAGCTTCTCTTCTTCAAAGCAAAGTTCTCTGGTTAAACTTCAGAAGCTCCAAACTGCCCATATTCTATTCCCTGAAGACAGTCATACATTTTGTCCCATCCTGTTTGGCTATTGCAGTAAATTAAGGATAAAGTTTTCTGATATATATTGTTATTAGGAACCAAATTAGCTGATTGCATTTTATCCAAATGATTTAGAGTAACACTATCTGTATTTTCTTCAGTATACTTTGAGTTGAATTATAAGAAAGCATAAAATATGCAAAATGTAAGATTTTGATTTTCTTTCCATTAAAATTTTTAATAAGTTCCATGTCTAATTTTATGTTTCAAGTAAAGTATATAGATCGGTCGTGATGTAGGTATAAGATCATAAGAAGAATATTATTTAAAAATGATAGAGGCCGGGCGTGGTGGCTCACACCTGTAATCCCAGCACTTTGGGAGGCCGAGGCGGGTGGATCACGAGGTCAGGAGATCGAGACCATCCTGGCTAACATAGTGAAACTCCGTCTCCACTAAAAATACAAAAAATTAGCCGGGCATGGTGGCGGGCGCATGCAGTCCCAGCTACTTGGGAGGCTGAGGCAGGAGAATGGCGTGAACCCAGGAGGCAGAGCTTTCAGTGAGCCGAGATTGCGCCACTGCACTCCAGCCTGGGTGACAGAGCGAGACTCTGCCTCAAAAAAAAAAAAAAAAAAAAAAAAAAAAAAATATATATATATATATATATATATATATATATGTATATATAATGATTATTTTCCTTCAGATGGATCATTTGAGGTCAAGAGTTCAAGATCAGCTTGGCCAACATGGTGAGACCCCTGTCTCTACTAGAAATACAGCTACTCAGGAGACTGAGGCACAAGAATCTCTTGAACCCGGGAGGCGGAGGTAGCAGTGAGCCGACATTGCGCCACTGTACTCCAGCCTCGGTGACAGAGTGAGTCTCCATCTCAAAAAAATATATATATATATGGTTAAAGAAAAAGCATTTTTAAAGTAGTTGTATGGCTTAATAGCACAAATATTAGTAGATATTGCTGCACATAACATCTCTGTACTATATTTAATTGATGGAATATACAGTTTAGAGCACATGTTAGATGAATATAAAATATTAGCCATACTATTTGCAGTAGTCCAAACAATTAAAAGCTGTCAAAAGAGAAGTTTTATTATTTAAGGAATGTTTACGACAACAATAGAAGAAGGCCCTGTAGTCTAGACAGTGATAAATAAAGAGCAGTGGATTAAGCATCAAGAATTCTGTCTTTTTGCTCACCTTAACATCTATGATTTCAACTTTGTAAAATGAAGCTCCTGGACTAAATGACCCCTTAGTTCCTTTCCAGTCTTAATCTCTGTGGTGCTAAAGCCTTCATCTTCATTAGTTTGGATTTATGTAATTTGGAGATTAAAGTAATCTTTTAAGGATATTCGAAATAACCTCAGAATATACATATAGATGAGAGTAGGAGCTGAATATTTTCTCTGGTTAAATCACAAAGTGACGGTTCTGACCACTCATGACTGAATAACTGTGTAAAGACAAGTGCATTTATTATCCTCATTCGACGTGGATATTGACTAATTTGTATTATTTCTGTTAACATTTAATCTAGGGCAATTATATATAAAAACACATTTTTCTAAACGGTTTGAATACAACTTAGTTTAAACTCTAACATTTTAGAAGTCTGTTTGTTGTCTGTTATTCAATCCAGAAGTATCTCCCAGTGAAATATAGAGTAAACCTAAGAACATGTCCACTATGTATTTGTTTTAATTCAGTGAATCTCCAATTTTATTGTGCATAAGGATCTCAAAATGAGTTGTAAAAATCTAAGCATAATTACTAATATCTAGTATTTACTCCAAAGTTATTCTGAGATTCAGTCTGAGGTGTGAGGCCCAGAAACCTATATTTTAAATAAACACTGTAAATGATTCTGATTTAGAGGCCCATATACTTTTTTGAAAAACACAGCTAAATTGCTGAGATCATGTATCCCATAAAAATGTACAATTAACATGTATCAATAATAAATAAAAAATTAGGTTGCACCCTGGTTCCAAATTCACTGGCTATAAACTATGTATTAAAACATCTCTACCTGTGCAGATCATAGCAGCACCCACCCAAGCGAGAAGTTGGATGTCTTGAAGCATTCTGGTTACTAGATTTCTAAAGAATAATAGCATTTTTAGATTTGACCTGAATTTACATTTGGAAGAAATATTTAATGACTTGGATTATCTTTCTTTTGTTTACCTAATAGCTTTTCCTTACTGTGTAGAATCAAAAGTAGGAACAAAACACAATATTCTAGAATTCTTGACTCCCACATGTTTTTTAAATATATTCAGCAATAATTTTTATTGTTTTTTAGGAAATTCATAAATTTGCAAAATCACTTATACCTAATGACAACCTCTTTTACCCTACATCCCTGCAAATAATTGACTTTGACAGCTTTGCAATGGGCTGCCTTTCAAAAATGGATCCAAACAGTGTCTAACTGATAGAGACAATCACGAAAAGTCCACATGCACACTGGAAATGCAATGTTGGGGGCAATAGATCAACTAAATAATTTTATGCTGACTTTTAAGGTTAAAATAGAGTCTTCATAAGGCTCCCTTAGTTCCCAAAATAATAACAGGTCATCACTTTTTATTTTGCTTTCCATAAAGCCTGTGGTGAGTCTCTTCAAATAAAATCAATAAGTAATTGTGATGGAATGTCACAGACCATTAGGAATCTCATTCTAAAATTCTTCTCTAGGCACTTTCCTCTCCATCCTCTCTTACTGCCCAATGGGTGAGAAGGCGTCCCATTTATTCCACAGTTTATGTGGCCCTTTAGGGTTTGAATTTGTTTTGGGATTATTTGCAATATTGCAGGAAATAGTGTTGAAAAAAGTCAAAGTTTTTATTAGCAAAAACGTGCTGTTTCCTGTAGTGATGAAGTTCTAATAACAGTGCAGTAATTTACAAATCCTTCAGGAGATTTTCTGTTGTGAGGAAATTGAGTTTACAATTAGGATGGCTCTAATTTAGGCATTTCAGCAAATAAAAATATACAAGATACCTGATGTTTAAAATCAGTTGTGGAATGGAGGAAAAGTTAAGAAATGTTTGGATTAGCAAAATTATAGTTACTTCATTGTGCCATGGTTGGAATATTTAAATTCCATTTGAACTAAAGTATCTACCTGTGAAGTTGCTCAACTCATTCAACAAAATTAAATTCCCAAGGAGGAAATTCCTCCTCATTGGCAATGCTTCTGCCTTAATGCACACTTGCCTTGCCAATTATTTGTATTAAAATTGTACTCATTTTTCAGCCAATTGACCTCTGATTTTATGCTGATGGTTTACTATGTAAATTTTGACCTTGATGATGCATCCTGTCCAGAAGGGAGGATTGTTGTTCAGCCACTCAATGTTTGTGTATCTGGCTTAATGCCTGAATTGATTTTTTGATTCATACCATAATATTAATATCTTTATAATTTTAGTTTGTTTTTAAAATAATGAGTCTTCTTCTCACGGCTAAAAAATGACTTTGCCCTCTATTAATTACGCAAATATTCAAACAATGCTATAATCTTGGAGAAAGTGATACTGTGAAAAATTAAATATATTTGGCATTTATTATGCCAGTTCCTAAAAAGGGAAAAGAAAAAGGAAACTATTTATCTTTCAGGGCTGGTTGGATTTCCAATATTAAGGCATACTGAATTAGGATCATTTTGTGTCTGTGTATTGCATAGAAGCACATCTAGGTGTTGGTTTTGCAACATTTCTTTTTGCATAAGAGAGCTCCTAAGAATTGATAGAAAAGGTAGAATTTTTTTCTTTTGTCTTTTGTTTCCAGAATAACTGGTTTTACCTGAACTTGTGAACATTTTATATACTTTCTGAATCATGTAAACTATCATGTTTCTTTCTTGGCAGTGGCTATTGAAAATTTTTGAACCAAAGTTCAGATCATGGTGGTTATTCTGGCTATTTGGTGCTTTTTATGAGTACAAGCAATGGCTGCAAGTGTCTCTGTTCTTTTGTGGTACATGATTAATGGTCTACAAGAATTTGTTTCATTTTGTATATACCTATATTTCATAGATTCTACAATGTGTTTTTTCCACATTTCAACATCTCTGAAGTGAAGATGTGTCTGGTAGTTTTGTTAAAGTTTGACATTTTTTTCCTCTGGGGTGTATAAATATTATCATCTTAAAATGGACTCTATTTTCAGTTACATAAAATATTTCAATATTATTGCAGCCTAGGAAGTAATTATCTAGATTGAAAAGAAGAGAGTTATTGAAAACTCAGAATAATTAGATGGATTTAGAATTAATTTCCAGACCAGTATGTGTACTTAGATAGCTCTAAAACATGGCTCAATTCCCTGGTCAATGTCGATCTAACTAAATGTTTTACTTTCTCTTTGTTTAAGGGAGCTTACCAAAGTAGTCTCTGCATTAATTTTTCTTCCATTCTTTCCCTCTTCCATCACACCTTACTACCATCTTTTCCTCCATACTCCCCTCCATCTTTCCTTCCTCCATTCTTTTCTTCCAACATTCACAGATATTTGATGGGCACATTTTATGTCCTAATGACTTAGCTAGTTATTGGGATATAGGTTTGAATTCTGTGTAATTGTTGATTCCAGGTTGCTTACATTTAGTTTGCAAGGATAGGAAAACAAACTTTTTCAGTGTGTAATGGTTAGCTGGAGTGGTACAGAAGTGAAGACATATTATTTATAAGAGCAGCGTGGAAAGGGAAGTGATTTAGTGAAGCCTAATCTGGGTATCAAATATAAGTAAGAATTGTCTAGATGAAAAAAGGAGATGGGATGTGTCTCAGGAAAAAGGAATGACATGAGTGCATAGAGAATGTATAGTAAATTTCAAGTGGGCTAACATGACTGAATACTGTACGTAAATCTGTAATGCCAAAGAGGTAAGAAAGACAGATTATGCATCCTACTGGGAAAGAAGAACTTTCCCAAGAGGGAAATATAAACCCTTTTAAGAATTATAAGTAGGATATTATTTGGCTTTTAAAAAATTATTCAGACAGCAGTGTAGAGGATGAATAAGAAGTACAAAGGTTACCCTGAAGTCTGAGACTTCAATTTGGAGGATTATATAGTAGATTAGATTAAGATGATTAATACAGAAATATGAAGGGAGAAGAGGTTGGATTATAAAACTAATTACATGATATGATTAAAATGATTTTGTGACCAATTATGTATGTGAAGTAAAGTAGAGGGAAAGTCGTCAAGATTATCTTTGTTTCTAGTTAGTACAAATGTACTAACAGCTATAGAACAACCAACGAGGTAGAGGCACAGGAGACACCAAGTGTGAAAGCAGAGGAGTAAAGATAATTTACTTTGGGGGCTTGTTGATTTTTGATTCCTGTAGAACATCCAGTAAGTCGTTTACAAATATGAGTTTGGAATAAAATAATTTGAGACACTATGCTCAACACATGATAAGCATTATCTCATATAAATATCAATATTATCCAATTAATAGGACTATCAGTGTTTCCTTTTTACCAGTGTAACTGTAGTCTTATGGAAGTTAAGTAACACCTGAGCTCAAACAGCTTGGAAGTAGAAATAGTATTGGGTTCCAAATAATTCTAGCTCTAGAGCCTGTGGTTTTTGTTTTGTTTTGTTTTTTATTTAATAGATTTTATTTTAAAGCAGTTTTATATTTACAGAAATATTGTTCAGAAAGGACAAAGAGTACTTTGTTCTTATCTCCTATCTCACTCTCTCCCTGGCCATATTTCCTCTATTAATGCATTAGTGTGGTACATTTGTTACAATTGATGGGCTAATATTGATGAATTTTTTTCTTTCATGAATCTTACTTTGGGTGTTATATTTAAAATATCATCTCCAAACCAAATATCTAGATTTTCTCCTACATTATCTCCTAGGAGTTTTATCATTTTACATTTTACTTTTAGGTCTTTGATCTGTTTTTGGGTTATTTTTTCTAAAAGGTGTAAGATCTAAGTCTAGATTCATTTTTTTGCATGTGGATGTATCTCTGTTCTAGCACCATTTGTTAAAAAAAACATCCTTTCTCCATTGAATTGCCGTTGCTCCTTTGACTGTGTGTGAGTCTATTTCTGGGATCTCTATTTTGTTCTATTGATCTATGAGTCGTCTTTCTTGCCAAAACCACACTGTCTTTTTTCCTGTAGCTTTATAGTAAGTATTGAAGCTGTGTCGTGACAGCCCTTCAACTTTCTTCTTCTTCTTCAGTATTCTGATGGCTATTCTGGGTCATTTGCTTTTCCATACAAACTTTAGAATTAGTTTGGTGATATCCACAAAATAACTTTCTGGGATTTTGATTGGGATTGCATTGAATCTATAAATCAAATTAGAAAGGTTGACAACTTAACAATAATGTCTTTCTGTCCATGAATTTGAAATATCTCTATATTTATTCAGATCTTTTGAAGAATTTCTTAATTAGAGCTGTATAGTTTTCCTCTAAGAGATTGTTTACATAATTGTTAGATTTATACCTAAGTATTTTACTTTTTCTGGTACTAATATAAATGGTATTAAGTTCTTTATTTCAAATTCTAAATGTTCATGCTGGTATATAGAAAGACATTGACTTTGATATGTTAGCCTTGTATTCTGCAACCTTGCTATAATCACTTATTATTTCAAGGAGTTATTTTTCGTTGACTCTTTGGGATCTTATGTATAGAACATCATGTCATCTGTGAACAATCAGTTTTGTCTCTTTCTTCCCAACCTATATATCTTTTTCTCTTTTTTTATTGCATTAGCTAAGAATTTTAGTACACTGTTGAATAGGTGTGATGAGAGGTGAAATTGTTGCCTTATTCCCAATCCTATGGGAATAGTGTCTTAGTTTCTCACCATTAATTATGGTGTTAGCTGTTGATGTTTTGTAGAAGTTCTTTATCAAGTTGAGAAAGTTCCCCTCTATTCCTAATTTGCTGAGAGTTTTGTATCACGGATTGGTGTTGTCAAGTGATTTTCCTGCATCTATTCATATAATCATATTATTTTTCTAATTTATCCTGTTGATGTGAAGAATTACATTAATTTTTTTTTGGAGAGAGAGAGAGTTTCACTCTTGTCGCCCAGGCTGGAGTGCAGTGGTGCAATCTCAGCTCACTGCAGCCTCCACCTCCCAGGTTCAAGTGATTCTCCTGTTTTAGCCTCCTGAGTAGCTGGGATTGCAGACATGTACCACCATGCCCGGATAATTTTTTTTTTTTTTTTAATTTTTAGTAGAGATAGGGTTTTTTACCCTGTTGGCCAGGCTGTTCCCAAACTGACCTCAGGTGATCCACCCACCTCAGCCTCCCAAGGTGGAATTACATTAATTTTTAAATGTTAACCCAGCTTTGCATACCTAGGATAAATCCAACAATTGGTTGTTGTATATAATTTTCTTTTTATACTTCGTTAGATTTGATTTGCTAACATTTTGTTGAGAGACTGTATTTTTTAATCATTTTCTTATAGATGTCTAGAAAAGAAATTTCAATTTAGAAGTCAACAGTGTATAAATGATAGTTAATGTCAAGGAATAAAAGTAGAGTGTGGTGTTTGAAGCCAAGAAATAATAGTATATAGATTAATAGTATTACTCCCACCACTAATAACTTACATTGCTGAGTGTTTTATGCCAGATAATATTCTAATTGGTTTAGAAAGTATTTGCTTTTTTGGTTTTGTTTTTTTTTTTTTTTTTTAAAAAGCACTTCTAGTTTTTTTTGTTTGCTTGTGTTTTTTTTTTTTTTTTTTTTTTTTTTTTTCAGTTTTTCAGATGAGGAATAGTTCAAGTATAAGTCAGTCAAAGAATGTACCCTAGAACTGGCTTTCCGACCCAGATTGCCTCACCTAAAGACTCAAGCCCTCAACCATCACACAATATTAATGATTGGAATCCCCTTTGGTACACCGAGAACAGAGGACTGGAGCTAGTACTTAGGGAAAGAAGACTGTATATGGGTCAGGAAGCGGAAGATCATATGAAGAAATAACAAATTTGAGGAAAGATGGGAGAGAATGGGGACTAGAATTTTTGTACCATTTATTCATAATAAGCTGATGAAACCTCAATTTATCTTATTTTGTTAAATCGTAGCAGTGAAAAGGAGACCTAGCATGACTAACTCCATTTTGCTTCCAACCACTCACTCCCCACCAAGGTGATATCTTTTAGCTTAACCGCTTTTGCTTATCTCTGCAGTAGGCCCAGCTAACCATGGAAGGAATTTAGTTTATAGTTTAAAGCAAGGAGATAATAGTTCCTTCCCAAAACTAACCCCTAAGGAGATAAGGAGGGTATACATAGAAGTACTAATGTTGTGTTAAAGATTTGTAGGAGCATTGTGACCTGACCAAGAAAAAGAAGCTTCACAAAGCCCCCAGACCCTAGACCCTTGCTGTCACACAGATGTCTGTGATCATCGGTAACCTCTTGACCTCAGCTCCTTCACTCTTCCATCTTCCCCTAAAATAGAAGGAGCCTGAAATTCATGTTAACTTAAGATGGTTCTTTAGGATATTAGTCTGCCATCCTCTCGGTTTGCTGGCTTTTGGAAATAATGCCACCTTCCTTGCCCCAACATCTTGTTTCTCAACATATTGGCCATTGTGCACTCAACTGTAGGAACTTGGACTTGACTGCAGTGTTAATAGGGTACAACACATGTTGCATCATGTTATCAGACCATAAAGTGCTTTTGTATCATGCCTTGCTGGTCAGTGGATTTATTTTTCATATATTGCCGCTCTTATCTTTCAGGTAGTCACTGCCCTATTTCATCAAAATATTATACATTAGAGACTGACAGAGCAGGCTGAAAGTGTCTTATTTTTCTTTCTGTTCCCTAAGAGGTGAACTTGGTGACTGTAGGAGCAATTAGTTTAGTGAAAAAACAGCAGCTGGTGGCTAAGTCAGCTTGATCAAAATACAAAAGAGTACATTATTGTTGTTTGGGATCACATTCAACCATGACTAAGCAATCTGTTCTAATAACTTCTATGTGTAGGTTACTTAACTTTCCCAATTGTGTGAAAGTATAAGATAAGAAATACATGATCATACAAATATAGGTAAAGTGCATGTTAAATAGCCAAGTAAGTGTATTATAGTGGGCTCAGAATAGTTTTTTTAAGCTGAAATTTGAAAAAACATAAAGGAATATGTGAGCTTTGTAATATGGTGCTCTTTAAACCATCAGTAGGTGAGAATAGAGAGTCTGGAGCATGATAAAGCTGCCATAAATAAAGGAAAGGATGAATCTCACATGTTTCACAAGCTTGTAATCATACCTTTACATACATTCTGCCAGTCAGCTACTCAGCCGTCTTCTTCAGGGAATACTGCTTTCTTTTTAAAGAATGTCAAGTAAATTTGCAGTTACCTGCAGTATTAGTGTGGAGTTGGGGGGAAAGAGTAAAATATTGTAATTGCCTGATCTCTCCAAGGATGTTTTGATTTCTGGGTGACCTGGGGTGTGGATGAAACCGCAATTAACCAACAGCTCAGTTGGCTTTATGTCACTGAAGAAGATCCTGAAATATGATCTAATTCATGGTGGTTTCATCTTCTAGGTGGCAAGATAATTTAGTCTAGGGCACCTGAACTGATCTGGCCTTCAAAGTACTGTCTTTACTATGGATTAATGACTCATGCAAGTTAGCAACATGTTTATTAAAGAACAGGTATAGTATTCTTGTTTAAGAGCTCTGGACACATAACATAATTACGTGTTATAAAAATACTAGATATAGTAATGCCATAATCCTATAACAATCTGAAATTTAAATTCTAAATAAATGTGGGAAAACAAGACAGATGAATATAAAGCAGCAAACATTTAATAACACAATATGCAACCCAGCACTAAAATATGTTGTTTAGATTATAAATCCCAGCAAAGTTCAGTGAAGGAAGATGAGTGTATGCTGGAGTTGTGGAAAAAAAGTTCATTGAAACTCCATTCTGAAACAAAATTTGGACCTTCTATCTGGTCCTCACATAAAATACCTGTTGCTTGCATTTCTGAGTTTCGTTAAGACAATTCTGTGGTGTATCCTTGAGGTGGGTGTGGGGGTGTGTGTGTTGTGTGTGAGAGGTAGATGGATAAATTATTGGTTAAAACCATAGACTTTGAAGTCAAACAAACCTGGGTTCATATCATGGATCTCCCAGTTATTCATATGTGACTTTGAGAATATTTAAATTCTTTAATTTCCATTATTTTCATATCTGTAAGGAGTGAAATATTTCTTCAAAGGATTTTTGTGGATTGATGTGATCATGTTTATGAATTTAATAAAGTACCTGGAGAATTGTAAACCCTCAGTAAGTGAGAGTTGTTACTGCTTATGCTAACAATGTCAAGATTGTAAAGATACATATATACATATTGTGGGTTCTTTATAGCAGTCTTCTTTCCATTATTAATAATGTGGAAACCAAAAGAAGTGGATTTTCAACTCAATATGCAAATCACATTGACTATGATAATGTAAAATATCTCCAGTATCTTCAATGAATATTTACAGGACAATGTAAGAGATGAAGGAGCTCATTTTTAATATCTTATTTTATAATAATGTATTGTATTTGGCTTAAGGTATAAACTATGTGTGATACTCCCTAAAAATTAATCATACATCTTTTTTGATGTTAAAAAATGTCATGCCTGTACATATAAAGATATATTCATTTGTAGGTAGATGATAAGCAATTCTCTCATAAGTACTTTGATGCTAAAAATATGATCAAATAAAGGCAAATTACCCAGTGTCACTCTTTCCAAAGGAGTGGTGGTGGTATCTGTCAAAAAGTGTAAACAAATTTGATTTATGTAATAAGAAACATTCTTTGCCTTGCTTATCTACATTTAGTACTTAGGAGTTTGACCTGTTTCCTTTTTTGGCTTTTGCTTTATATTCATAGTAGAGTGTTAGTAGCTCTCAAGATAAGAAAGAACAGGTTAAGATACTATACCTAGCTGGTGCATTTAAAAATAATTAGCTATTTTTATCCTTTAGTGCTACTTCAATAAGTTTGTTGTCTCATATTGATTTTTCTTCTTACTTTTAAAATTCTTGCTTCTGGGCAAAACCCAGCTTTGCTTTTAATGTTCCATATTTATGAACAAATTAAGGCAGAGTGTGAGAAATGCCAAAAGTACCCACGGCTCTTTTTTAAAAAAATTGATTTTTCAGACATGGAATCAAATCCCTAAATTGTATGCACCCATTTATGTTTGGGGCCTTGGATATATACAAAGTCTTATTCCTTCAGAAAAGGAATGTTTTGGGGTCAGAACAAACAGGAATAAAATAAGAATTCACAAGATATGTATGTATTCATATTCTGTGATTTATAATACAAATTTGAAAAACAAAATAGTATTAAGATCCAAAAGCACAGGAAGACCTAATTCTGGTATTTTAGAGAGAGTCACTTAGATAAACAGTGTTTATGAAATACTTTCAGATTCTTTTTGAAAAAGTTCTGGGGAACTAGAATTCTTACCATTCCCTGAGAGATACTATTTCTTATTTAAAAATTAGCATTTCTTTAACATAGGTATACAATCTGAAACAACATGGTAAATATATACAACAGAGAATAAATACAAGTTGTGTACCTGTATTCATTTTAGGACTTGCCATGGTGAAATATTAAGGAAAATGGTATAGTTAGACATTTATTAATTCAAATAGGTAGTGTGATAGGCTGAATTGTGTTTCCCAAAATTTATATGTGTTATCTCTGACCCTCAGTGCCTCAGAATGTGACTGTATCTGGAGCTAGGGTCTTCAAAGAGGTAATTAAGTTAAAATGGAATCATTAGGATGGGCCCTAATCCAATATGACTAGTGTTCTTACAACAAGAGGAGATTAGGGTACAAACATCACAGACTGAGAAGTAACTATGTGAAGACACTGTAAGAAGGTAGACTATCTACAAGCCAAGAAGAGAGGCCTCAGATAAAATCAAACCTGCCAATATATTGGTCTCGGACTTCCAACATCCATAACTATGAGAAAATAAATTTCAGTTGTTAAAGCCACCCAGTCTGTGGCATTTTGTTATAGCACCCCTAGAAAACTCATACAGGCAAGAATCTAAGTGTTGTAACATTAATATCTTGGCCCTTAGAATCCCCATTGGTGATATTCCTCCTGAGAGAGGTCTGCCTCTTTTGCAGTATTATACAACCATCATTTTGGTGAATGAGCCAAAGAATATATCTTCTAGATCATCCTCATTTTTCTATATTTCTAGGAAATTCATTTGCCTATGTGCTACGGAGGAGGAAAAATTATTAAACAATAATTGAATATTTCTATATTAGACAGTCTGAAGATTGAAAGATAGGGTCATTGATACAACTAAAGAACTTACTAATAGGGAAGATAAGTTCTAAATACAAATAGCTATCATGAGTCAGAATATGCCCATCACCATAAGAAAGATCCATGCATATATGCAAATATCTGAGGAGAAAATAAAAAGTAATATGTGTTCCAGAAGGCAGATTAAGGAAGTCTTGGAGCAGAAGGCATTTTAGCTGGGTCATAAAGAATGAGTAGAACTTATGATGGAGGATTTTTAAGAGTAAAGGACATTTCAGGCAATAGCATTGCATAAGGAAAGTGCATTCGTGGAAAAACGAATCTCTCTTTTCTCTCCACCCCCAATACAATTACATAACCCCTTTTCTCTTTTCCTTTTCTGGAGTGCTGCTCTTTTCTCTACAAAAGGACATGGGTTGGACTTAAAAAGAAAGTAGACACTGTAACAGTTTACCACCCAAGACTTATTAGATTGTCATATTAGCAGTGGCTAAATGATGTCATTAAAATTGAATTGCATCAGATATACCTTGCTTGAGAAAAATCAGGGCCTAATCAGATGAAATGTCTGCTTTTCAGTCAGATTTTACAACTATCATAGTTTATAAGAAATACTGAATAACTGAAGCATATGGTGGTTTTACAGATATTTTTGCTATACCCTGTGGTTAGGAAGATTGACTTTATTATATCATTATTGCTTTCATATACAGCCATGTTAAATGACAAAAGAAATATTTCCTCTAAAACTTTGACTTCCAGTAAGCCAAATAACATTCTCCCAACCCACGACACCCCCATTTTATAGTTCAGATAATACTGGGAAGATTATTATTTTAGATATCGAATCAATATACATTTGACCACTTCTTATTTTTGTACATATGTTACATGTGCGATTTAGTGTTCCAAAGTATGCAATTTAGTGTTCCAAATTACCAATCAGTATAATATTTCCTTTCTTCTCTATTGTAGAGAATGATTTTTGTTTGCTTCATTATGTAACCCTCAACAAATTTTATTAGGTATAGCAGGTTCATATGGTACTTTGCACAAAAAACAAACAAACAAAAAAACCGACTTAGGAACTGTTAAAATTTTGATGGTAAAAGACACATTTATAATTTAATTTTACTTAATAATTCTTGTTAAATTTTAACCACTCAAACAACCAGTTAATATTTTATGAGATTATCTGCTATGTGGAAAGTGCTAGCTACTTAACTGCTCAGATTTGTTTATTAGTTACCAAATTGAAATAATTGTGTTATTTTTCTCACAAATTATTATACTTGCACACTTTATGGATGATATGGTTTGGCTCTGTGTCTCCACCCAAATCTTATCTCCAATTGTAATCGCCATGTGTGGAGGGAAGGACCTGGACGGAGGTGATTGGATCATGGGGGCGGTTCCCCCATGTTGTTCTTGTGATGGTGAGGGAATTCTCACAAGATATAATGGTTTTAAAAGTGGCAGTTTCCCTTGCTGTCTCTCCCCTGCCACCACATAAGGTGTGCCCTGCTTCTCCTTCACTTTCCGCCATGGTTGTAAGTTTCCTGAGGCTTTTCTAGCCCATGCGGAACTGTGAGTCAATTAAACTTCTTTTTTAAATAAATTACCCAGTCTCAGGTAGTATTTTATAGCAGTGTGAGAATGAACTAATACAATGGAGATTCAGGATTCAAAGATAGAATGCAAAAAAAAAAAAAAAAAAAAAAAGAAAATAATAGTAATAAGATTGAGTTAAGGCTCTCTTTTTTGCTTCTTATGAAGAAAACAAGGTTATGATTTCTCTTCTATAATTGGAAAGTAAACCATTAATTAAAAATGGCTTTGTATACAGTGAGCATCCCTAGCCATTTTTGCTTATGGTAGACTTCTGTCCACCCCAACCACAGCCTGAATCTTTAAGTTGCTGTCAGAAGCTTTGAGAGCTGTGTAAATGCAGGAAGTCTGGTGTGTGGGATGCAAATGAAAATTGAGGGCAATTCAAATGGTGCATGAAAGAGAAAACTAACGCCACTTGAGTTCTCTGTTAATTTGCCACTTCCACACTTATGTAAGAAGTTGCCATATGAGTTTCAAATGTAATCTTTTGGCAATTTTTATGCCTTGTTGGAATTTAAGAGGATGTACATAATCAAATATCCAATACATTTTCCTCTCTGAAAATGAAGTTATTTTGAAATAATGTCATTTCAAATGAGCTTATGCATTGCATGTATTTCTTCGATATGTTAGGGCTATGAAGAAACAAAAATCAACTAGTCATATCCTTCTCTGTATTCAAGGAATTTATATGTACTGAAAGGTCAAAGGAAATAGAGGCCAGACAATCAAATTCACTTTTTTTTCTTTTGTTTTTTCTCGACCTCTATTGCTATCTTAAGGCTTTCTCCAGAATTTCAGCTTCGCTAATGTTAAAGCAGTGGTTATCAACTGGGGGAGATTTTACCCCCTAGAGGATATTTGGGAATGTCTGGAGGCATTTTTGATTGTCACAATGGGGAAAGGGAAGGGATGCTACTAGGATCTATTGAACAGAAGCCAGGGACACTCCTAAACATCTGACAATGCACAGCACAGTCCGTCTGCAACAAATCTTTCAACCCCAAATCTCAGTAGTGCTGAGTTTGAGAAACCCAAAGAAATAACTTCAGTGGGCAGAATACAACATTGAGAGGCAGTTGTTTCTGGTTGTGTCATCTATTCTGCTTTGACTGCCCTGTTGTCATCATCTTTGCTGTTGTTGTTTGTTTGTTTGTTTGTTTTGAGACAGAGTCTCACTCTTGCCCAGCCTAGAGGGCAGTGGTGCCATCTCGGCTGACTGCAACCTCCGCCTCCCGGGTTCAAGCAATTCTCCTGCCTCAGCCTCCCGAGTAGTTGGGATCACAGGCACCCACCACCACAACCAACTAATATTTTGTATTTTTAGTAGAGATAAAGTTTCACCCTGTTGGCCAGGCTGGTGTCGAACTCCTGACCTCAGATCATCCACCCACCTCTGCCTCCCAAAGTGCTGGGATTACAGGCTTGAGCCACCGTGCCCAGTCCCCTTATCATTATCTTAAACAAGTGACTTCCCTACCCTCATCTAATTTCCTTGTTTATGAAGTTAAGAATTTGACTAGATCATCTGTCAAGAGCCCAAAGTCTATAAATCTTGCCAAATTTATTTATACTTTTTCATTTTTTGAGGGGTAAAGACATGTAGAATTATTTCAAGAGATTATTTAATTAAGCTATTCATTTTATTGTCATTTTTAGGTTATAGCTTTCAAGAAACATGCAATATATATTTATCAATGCAGAGATACAAATGCAATTCATGTTTTGTTTTTCAATGCAGAGATACAAATGCGATTCATGTTTTGTTTTTCATTAGTGTGCAAGAATTGAAAGATGCTTGAAAATATAGGACTTAGTATTCCTTCTTTATATGTAAAATAACTAGAGTAGTATGATATATTAATTTTAAAAATAATATTATTAACCTTGTCTAATACTCCTCAATCAGAGGAAAGTGATGCATTTTCAAAACAAATGTTTTAAATCAACTCCCATAGCAATTCAAGTTCAGCTATAGCACCACAGAATATAACAATGTTCATGCTTCAAAATGAATTTGGCTTGAATCATTAAAAGTCTGAGTTCCACCAGAAATTTTTATTGCCTCCTTTAGTCTTTTCTGTCCTTGTTAAACAAACATATATCTTTGAAAGCCCTAGGGGATGCTCGTATATTAATATTATTCAAAAATACTTTCTGATTAAATTTAGTTGTATGTAATGAGAAAATGTAGACCAAGTCCTATAATATTTTCATTTCTTTAGGAAATGTAATTGTGTGAATTAAACTGTTATCCAAATGAAGATTTTGATCTTGTCATAACATTCTTGAATATTAGAATGGACACTTGATTAAATGCTATATTGGAATGTCATGTTCTTGGCTGCCCCACTTTTATGCTCTGTGCTTCTAGACTGACTGTACACTATAGGTTAAGAATTGCTTGAAAAGATATTAAAAATGAAAATGATGCTATTGCTAGATTTCTTTAAATGTTTGAAATGTAAAAGTTGGTCACTAATGGCTATGATATATAATTTGGTTATGAATTTTGGATTTTATTAACCAAGCTTTTTCTCCCTGTTACAGTAAATAATTGAAAGTTAAGCTGATGCATTAACATAGGACAGTTTAGACAGAACTAAGAAATAGTCTATACTGTTATGAAAATATAAGTCTATTTTAAAATAGAGACTTTAACAGCCTCTGGAATATTGACAGGAGGTGAAACAGCAGGTCTTTAACTGTTTGAAGCCATAAACTGCAGGCTCATTTTCTGTACAATATATACTTATTGTTTCGTATGTCTGACTGAATCTTTATTTCTTTTTATATATAATTCATATTGCCTCATAACCACCTAAGTCATTTCATGTTTTTAAAGGATACACTTTATTTTTTACTTTTATGTTTAATGTATATTGAATATCATCAGCATTATGTTTGTGGTTTCAATGTAGTTCTAAAAGAAACAATGATAAACTCCACAATTATAATTCTTAAAAGACAAAATAATTATGTTTTGTCATAAAAGCTGTGACATTTCATAGAAGTTAAATTTCCTGATTAAGTAGTATTCTCAGTCTAAAAACTATTCACAATTATCCTTTTAAAATTTTTTATTTTTAATTGACAAAAAATAATTACATACATTTATGGAGTGCAATGTGATGTTTTGATATATGTTTATGTTGTGGAATCATTAAATTAGGTAGCCATTGTTCTTGGGCCCAGAACTTGTCCATCACTCAGAGATTTTGCCTGCGGGGGAGAAACAGATCTTAGAAAGGAGAGCTCTAAATTCCTCTCCAAAGAAACTGACATCATTTGTAATAGAGTATGGAGAAGTTCAGCCTAAAGACACTCTCAAAAAAGAGGAAGTTGTAGTGAAAGACAATGGGGAGATGATTGATAGATTTATTAGAGATGTAGGCTGAACTGTATGTAGGTCAGCTAGTCTGCCGGAAAATAATTAACTGGGGAAGAGACAGCTGGAAGGACCCCTTATGAGGGCAGAACAAAATTTAAACATTGTCCTTGGGAACCATCCCTGCAAAGAAGCTCAAATTCGAATAGATTAGCCTGCGAAACAATTTATGCCCCAGGACGTTGTTGAAAACAACAGAAAAATCCGCTGCAAGTAGTGGAGTTTAACAGCTAGTGTAATCTGTTGAAAGAGAAAGTCAAAGAGAGCCTGCCCAAACCCCTGTTATCCCAAGGTGACTATCAGCCTACAAAATCTGTGCCCTATGATGGGCAACATCTGAGGTTTCACATTGTGGACAGAGTGGGAGAATAGATTTCACTAAAATAACATAACCAGCCACTGAACAAGTAGCCAAATAAATACTAAGTGTCTGAAGAATGATCATTACTCAGGTTTACTATAATCTATTACCTAAAATGTACAAATTCTAACAAAAAATTATGCACAAAAAAGAAAACATGACCTATATTCTCAGCAAATATGATCTTATATATAGAAAAATCCTAAGAAATCCCATTAAAATGATTAGAATTAATAGGCAAGTTCAGCAATGCTGCAGAATAACAATATTTTTGAAATCTGTTTAATTTCTCTGTATTTGCAATGAACAATGCAAAAAAGGAAATTAAAACAATTCTACTTATAATAGCATCACAAAGTACAAAATACTTAAAAATAAATTTAACGGAAGTAATTACAAACTTATACTCTGAAAACTACAAAACATTACTGAAAGACAACATCCCATGTTAATAGATTGGAAGACTTCTAATTTTAAGATGACAGTGCTCTCCAACTTCATCCACAGATGTAGTGTAATCTCTATCAAAATTTAAGCTGGTTATTTTGTAGAAATGCACAAGGCAATCTTAAAATTTATATGGAATTACAAGGGGCCCAGATTATCCAAAATGAGCTTGACAAAGAACAAAATTGGAAGACTCATATTTCCTAATTTCAAAACTTACTACAAAGCAGCAGTAAAGAAGTTAATGTGGTACTACATAGGATAGACATAGATCTTAATTTTAAAGCCTAGGTATAAACCCATGTACCTATGGTCAACTGATATTTGACAAGAGTGCCAAGAATATTCAGTAGGGACACAATAGTCTTTTCAACAGATTGCACTGGGACAGTTTGATATTCATATGCAAAATAATGAAATTGGAACTTCACGCTATATACAGAAATTAACTCAAAATGGGTCTAAAACTTAAATATAAGAGCTAAAACTTGAAAAATTTTATAAGGAAACATAGGGGAAAGTCTGCATAAAGTAGGATTTAGCAATGGATTCATAGATCTGGCCCCAAAAGTATGAGCAACAAAAGAAAAAATGAATTAGACTTTATCAAAATTAAAAACTTAAATGATTCACATCACACTATCAAGAAAGTAAAACAGACAACCCACAAAATGGGAAAAAGTGTTTACAAATCATAGACCTGATAAGGGATTTGTATATTAACTATTAGAATGCTCTTTAGAGTAGATAATAAGACAACCCACTCAAAAATGAGCAAAGGCTCTAAATAGACATTTCTCCAGAGAAAATAAACAAATGGCCAATAAATGCATGCTTGACATCTTTAGTCATCAGGGAAATACAAATCAAAACCACAGTGAGATACTACTTCATACTCACTAGAATGGCTAGAATAAAAAACTCAGAAAAGAACAAATATTGGTGAGGATCTAGAGAAATCAAACCCATCCCTAATATACAGCTGGTGTGAATATAAATTGGTGCAGCCACTTCGAAAAACCATCTGACAGTTCTTCAAATGACTAAACGTAGAGTTACCATATGACCCAGCAATTTTACTCCTACATAGATACCGAAGAGACATAAAGTAACATGTTCACACAAATCTTGCAAATGAATGTTTTTAGTAGCACTATTCATGATAGCTAAAAGGTGGAAACAACCCAAGTACTCATCAATGGATGAATGGATGAACAAAGTGTGATCTGTTCATACAATGAAATGTTAGCCCTAAATATGAATAAAGTACTTACACAAGCAAAAGCATAGGTGAATCTTTAAAACATTATGCCACACAAATGAAGCTACCAACAAAAAAGACTGCATATTTTATAATTCAATTCATATAAAATGTCCAGCATTATCAAATTTATAGAGATAGAAAGCAGATTAGTGGTTGCTTAGGGATGAAGGAGGATGGGGAATATGTGAAATGGCTGAGGGTGATAACTAAACGTTATGGAGCTTATTTTGAAGTTATAAAAATAATTCTAAAGTTGACAGTGGTGATGGTTGCACATGTCTGTGAATATACTAAAAACCATTAAATTGTACATTTTAAATGTGTGAATTTATGGTATGTGTGTATATTAAACACATATATGTGTGTGTATGGATATGTGTTATATGTATGTGTGTATATACATATATGTATGTGTATATATGAGTGTGTGTATGTGTGTGTGTGCATATATATACATATATAAATATATATATATAAAGATATATATATAAATATATAAATATATATATAAAGATATATATATAAATATATAAATATATATATATATATATATATATATATATATATATATATAAGCTCCTCCTTACACCTCCACACAACTAACACGGGAAACTTACTCAAAATTTAATTCACAAGTTAACCAATTGTAAAGAGAACCAACATTATATGGCAGCAGTTAATATCCACTTTATCCTTCAATGGTCCCAGTGAAAACAGTCATTATATGTAGATTTTAAAAGATTTATAACTTGTGAATTATAAGTTGGAGAATTTTAAAATGGAATTAAATAGTGTGACATCATTTTCACAATTGCCACTCAATTTTGAGTTTTTCTGGAAGATATTTTAGGATAATATGAGAGAAGCCAGAGGAAGCTAGAGCCCCAGGATATGCCTCTTCTTCTTTATTTACTATAAAAAAAAAGTCAGAATTGGCATTCTGTTGATGAAAGGTATGAGTAAGGTTATTATCTGAAAAATAACTGCTTCCTTCCTTTTAGTCTATTCCTGACCAAAGCTCAGTGTTAATTCCTTCTAGCTAGCCATCTGAAAAAAGTAGAGTACACTTTCTGATGTTCTTCAAACAGATTCTCTAACTTGCAAGCTCCAGTAAAAATCTAACAAACCTTTAAAACCAACTATTATTCTAAATATATTAACACTTATAGAGCGTCTTATACTTTGGTTTTATGATATGGTGATAGGCTGGGTGGCTATTGGAAAATCTAATAAGAAAATGATATGGCAGAACGCTGTTTTGTTATTATTTATTGTATTTTTCTTTAGTCTCTGCTGATTCTCCTATAGAAAACTGTTTAAAAGCATTTTTGCAAGCCAGACCTCTGTCAATATTGGTGCATTAGACATAAAGTAGCCTAGCAACCTGCTATAGTATGATCACAAACTGGTTTGCTTAACTGCTAAAGCAGGTTTGTTTTGTCAATAAATAATAAGCAGTATTTCTTCATCTTTTATGTTTCTACTCCTGTTTTTCCCAAAATGAATAGTTATTTTTCTTGTACCTTTGTTCAACACTGGTGGAATAGCATCAGAAAGTTGAATGTCAAATCTGTTAACTTCTTCATTTCTTATCACTGTTTAACCATTATTACATTGATCCCATAAATCATTAATGCTAGACCAGGAAGTAACTTTGAAAAAAGGACACAATGTCCATGAAGCTATTTGGTCATGAAGAAGCAGCCTTGGAGCTAGGAATCAGTAGGGGTCAGATGGAAGCAATTACAATAGTAGTGGCGGTAGGAGCAATGTAATTAGTAGGGTCGTCAAGGGTAATAATTTGCAGACATTATAACAATAAAAAGTTGATATTCCAAATAACTTCTCACCCCATCCCCCAAAATGTTTACTGTTCTATATTCAGACTATAGCAGATGTGACAAATAGGGCTATGTACTGGAGCCTTTGGGAGAATCAGTTGCTATACTGAGGTCACCCCCCAACACATTTCAGGATATTTGCATCTATAGGTTATATTAATAATAACATACATGAGGACAACTGCTTCTACGATAAGAAAAGCAGGCAAAAGAAAGGTTAGACTCATCCAGAGAAATCAGGTGAGCAATATAAGTGTTGTGATCAAGAAATAGATGATAGCCTAATCTAGATTAACTAGCAATCAATCTGCAAGAGCTTTAGCAATCTTTACTAAGACAGTCGTTTTCAAAGTGTGATCTCCAGAGGTGAGGCATCAGCATCACTTGGGAAATTCTTAGAATTCCAAATTCTCTTTCCCCACCCAGACCTACTAACCGAATCAGAAACTCTGGGGAATGGAGCTCAACAATCTATTTTATCAAGCCTTCTAGGTGATTCTGATGCACAGTCAAGTTTGAGAACCACTGTGCTAAGAAGGTGTTTTGTAAGATTTGAGGGTCACCTCACAGATTGGACATTAGGCATTGCTTAGGAAGCAGTAAGATTTAACAGTTAACAAATCTTAGAAGGAAAGGGATCAGGACAGAACCTGAGTCCCAAATAAACTAACATATTTTATAGGAAGGCATGGGCTTGGAAACATAAAGATATACAGTATTTAAGAAGGTAATGTATAGACTCAAATAAAAATATTTTGGATTCAGATAGAGCCTTATAGCCTTCAGCAAGCTAGAGTGCTTGTGCCTCAATTTTTCACTCTCTAATGTAGTGTAATAAAAACGGGGCTAACCTTGTGGAGTTACTGTGAAAAGTAAATGAATCAGAGAGAATACTCAGAATAAGACTGTCACAAAGTAAGGACAGAATAGATGTTAATTCACATTATACTTTTTATATTATAAAAATTTTAGCATAAGAATTGGTATTTCTGAATTATAATTTTCAAAAGGTTAAAAAATGACTCATACAATATAAAATAAACGCGTCAAAGATGTTTTTAATTCATTGATTAATAAAGTAACTAGTAAGATCAAGACTGGATTTTAAAAAAAGGTCTTAGAGTACAGAGATTAATATAATCTGTCAAGAATGCTGAAATGAGTTTCTAATGGACATAAAACCAGTTAATATACTACAGAGCAATACACTGTAATGTTAGGAATTATCTTTTTTTTATTAGGTTAAAACCAATTGCATTTCTTGTGGACATTTATTTACATTAGTAGAGACAAGGATTATTTTCATAACTGTCAGATATGAAATCTGAATTTATAACAGTTTTCTGCAAGATAACCTCTAGCCCTACAAAGTTGTAAAATAGCCTAGTCAATAGAAAGTTAATAAAAGATACAACCTTGAACTACTCTGAAAGAACATGCAGTAATTGATTTTGCCTGTCTCCAATTTTGGTATATTATTTCTTGATGGGTGTTTCATAAACAATAGTGCAAAAGCCAGGTTATTGGAACCAATTTATAGGAATGAAGCAGGAACAGAAGCAAATGTGACATGGCTAGTGCTTGTGAATGCTGGATGATTAGAGACTTGCAGGAGACAATAATGGGACTTTAAGAATTAAAGACTTGCTGCCAGAGCACTCAAATGGATATTATATCACCTAAAGAGTTATACATTTTGAAGAAACAGAAATACACACATAAATTTGAAAAATATTTTGTATTATAATTGACTGACAGAGACCAGTTGGAGCGTTATCCTCAGCAGTAAGAAACATTTACTTATTTGAGGTAAAACTATCACCAAGCGTACAAGGTAGTCAAGGTCTTACTTAGGAGTCACTCATGACAGAACATTCAGTGCATTTTTCTCTGTTGCAAATAGAATCAATGAACAAGTTTGGTATGATTGCCTCAGCTTTAAATTCTTGTCACATAATGACTAGAAAATAAAGTGTAGATACTGCCAGATTAAGCACAATAGAAAATTTATATAGTTAAATCACAAATATGGTCAATGTTGAACAATGATTTCAATACAGCATGTGCACAAGATTAGATTGATACATCCAATATGTGAGAGACTTGGCTAGAAGAAGCAGTCCTTGATTAAGGAGATGAGTAGTAATTTGCTTTTCTAAAACATTCTGCATCATTATTGGAAAGTTACATTTGACTCTTTTTTTCCGCAAAAGTATTTTATAGAAAACAGCATGGGACCAGGCGTGATGGCTTTTGCCTATAATCCCAGCACTGTGGGGGCCGAGGCAAGCAGATCGCTTGAGGCCAGGAGTTCAAGACCAGCTTGGCCAACATGGCAAAACCCCATCTTTTCTAAAAATATAAAAAGTAGCTCGGTGTGGTTGTGCATGCCTGTATTCCCAGCTACTCAGGAGGTTGAGGCACGAGTATTTCTTGAACCTGGGAGGCAGAGGTTACAGTGATCTGAGATCATGCTACTGCAATCCAACCTGTCACAAAACAAAACAAAACAAAAAAGGAATAAAAGGAAACAGCATGGGTCTAAGTTAAATTGAGTTATTATTTTTCTATGTGTTTTCTGATTTTCTGTCATGGAATGGAACAAGAGATTATAGTAAGAGATGTTTTTGATTTTTTTCTTAACTGTATTGGACTCATTCTCAATTTATAATTCTCCAATTTAAAGTTATTTAACAAAAATATATTGAGCATTACTTGAATAAGGCTAAGTATTACGCACTGAAGACAAGAAAAAGATAAATATGATACTGTTTTCCAAGGAAGTTACCATTTTATCTTGGAATGAATTAAATGACTTCAAATAAAGGGAGAAGGAATATGGTAAAATTAACAATAGCCTGGGTGAGCAATAGCATTGTAGCAGTCAAGTCTTGGGAAATATGGTGGTGAGAAACATGTCTACCAAATTTAAAAATATTGAAAAATACAGGAGATAAAGAGTAGTACAAAGTGGTACAAGTAGTACAAACTAATATATGTCTAAGAAAGTAATAGTGTGATGAAAGGAAGAAAGATTGCAATATATGTGATGAAAGGAAGAAAGAGAATACAAAGTAATATATGTGCTGAAAGGAAGAAAGATTGCACTAATATAGAAAGGTTAGTTTATCAGCAAAGGCTTCATGGAGGAGGGAATATCTAAGATGGATATTGAATGATAGGTAGGATCTAGATGGTGTGGGATGGAAGGATATTCTAGGCTAAAGAAAAGGCAGGTATATATGTAAATAGGACCATTTAGGTAGTCCTACTTGAGGAATAGGTTACATGTAGAGACATGCCATACAAATAACAGATACCAGGTGTTCAGCTTCCCAAATATTATCTTATTGTGTTTAATATTTACAGTAATCTACTAGGTAATATAACTATCATTTTTAGATAAGAAAGTAAACTGCTAATGTCAAGTAGTGAGAAGTTAGATGGGTATTCCTAATCAAATCAGTCTGATTGCCTTTAACCCTTCTATTAGTCCATTTCTACACTGCTATAAAGATACAACCTGAGATTGGGTAATTTTTAAACAAAAGAGGTTTAATTGACTCACAGTTCCTCATGGCTGGGGAGATCTCAGGAAACTTATAATCTGACAGAAGGGTGAAGGGGAAGCAGCAACCTTCTTACATGGTGGTAGGAGAGAGAGAGGGTGAGTAGGCGAAAATGCCAAACACTTATCAAACAACCAGATCTCATCAGAACTCCCTCACTATCACAAGAACAGCATGGAGGAAATCACCTCCATGATCCAATCACTTCTCCCCAGGTCCCTTCCCTCCACATGTGGGGATTACAATTCGAGATGAGATGCGATTTGGGTGGGAACACACAGCCAAACCATATCAACCTTGTACTTCATTGTCACCCACCTGCATCTCAGACATTTGGAGTATTACAGGTATTAAAACTTCATGATTCAACTCTAGATTTTTGGATGTGGGGTATAAAGAAAAGAAGAGAGTAGTCAAAAATAATGCCAGTGTTTTATGACTGGGTGATTTTGAAAATGGTGACACCATAAATGAAAAGAGTTTCATTGTGGGCATGGTAATCAAAAATTTCTAGTAGCCCTTCAGGAAATTGTATCAAATAAAAACATTCTATCTGGCATTCAGAAGATATCTGAGCTCAGGGCAGAGAAGAAAAAGATAGCAAGAGAATACAATCAGAGACACCAATGTTAAAATAGAAAGGGAAGGAAGGAAGTGAAGCAAGGGAAGGAAGGGAAGGAAGGGAGGGAAGGGAGGGAAGGGAGGCAAGGGAGGGAAGGGAAGGAAGGGAAGGAAGGGAAGGAGGGAGGGAGGGAGTGAGGGGAGTGAGGGGAGTGAGGGAATGGAGAATGAAAATGTATCCATGATGAAGAGGGAGCCTTGTGCTGTTGCATTAGAAGGTGAAGCAGGATAGAGTTTTAAGAAGGAGTGCTAGTAAAGTGTGCAATACTTAAAGGATAATGAATTTGTCATTTGAGATACTCAGGGTGACTCAAAAGGCTAATAAGATTTGTAGAGTGAAAAGAGAAGCCAGATGGAAAGATGAATAGGACTGAGTGTTTGATAGGCAAAGGGATACCAGGGACATGGGCTGAGAAGTTACAACTTAGTCCTACTGCATGCCTTAAGATGACAGTCACAATTTTAGTATAGCAAGAAAAATTGAAGTGAAAACCTCATACTATTGAGACAACTACAAAACCAGTCCTACATCTAAATTGAAGAAAGTAGCTAATCAAATGCAATCCTAAAATGCCTAGGAGTTTAGCAAATGCAGACATATCAAGGGTAGTCCTGAAAAGGGTTTAAGTAAAGTAAGGGGAATTATTAAAAAGACTAAATTGTGTTATTAAGCCTACCTAATGTTAGTGATTATCTTTGAGGGACTTATTCTTTCTAGTGGGTCTGAAATAAAGGTCAGTGATTATGTGTTTGTGTGTGTGAGCGTGTGTGTGTGAGAGAGAGAGAGGGAGGGGGAGGGAGAGAGAGAGAGAGAGAGAGATTAAGACTCATTTCTTAATGTAGCTTTTCATTCCTTATTTAGTTACTTGGTGATTCTTAGAGAAGAAAGTCAATCATTACAGGTGCACTTAGAATCTGATTCTGAAGACTGTTCTGAATGTCTTTCCATTTGTTCAGACACTGAATCTTAATTTTACCATTTCCCTTTTTTGTGTGTAACATGGTATTTTATCAATGAGGAGATGAAATGGTACCCATATTACATCCAGGATATAGAAGCTAACAAGGGGGCATACCTGGAGTAAAATTTTAAATGATAGCTTTTGCTCTGAATATAAAAAATTCCAAGATATTTGATATAATTTTTTATGGACTCCAGATCGTTTCAGTCTTGTAGTAAAACATACATTTCCATGCTCAGAACACCAAGCTACTGCAGGAAAAGTACCGTTGCCTATTTCTAATAGTGTGGTATTTGGAAGAGGATGTTTGGAACATGCATATGATGTCTCTGAGTTTGAACTGATCGGAAATTGTTAAATTGATATAGTTTGAGCTGTAGGTTAAATTTATAAACTCTTTCAAATTACTTTGCTCACAATAGATCTGCTGTTAGAGTAGTTGCTGTTATCCCTAATTTACTAATGAGTATGAACAGTGCAGCTCAGGGGAGCTAAGTGACTCCTCCCAGATCCTAGAGTAAGTTAAAAACAGAGGTGGCCAAGGAATCTTGCAGTGCAGTGCCTGCCTTGTGACACCATATCAGAGCCTGAGGAAAAAGAAATAATTCATCCACTATTGATATTTATCAAAATATCCTATTTTTTGAACCAAGTACAAAAATTAATAAAAGTTTTACGATAAAAAAGTGATTGTTTGCATAAAGGTCTTTACTCCCAATTCTCAGTCTCTATAAACCCAGCCATTGTAAGGACTGAAGGGTACTTGAAGAGGCTGTGCAGGCTAGAAACCTTTGGGCTGATTGAAAGGCCTCCTCCCATTTTGCAACACTGCCAGGTTATTGCAGCATGTCTTTATTTAGTATTTTTATATTTTATTCATCATAGATTTCTGCACTAATTTTGATTTAAAACAATATTACATGGCTTCTCATCTTTTCCTTGCAACCTTAAAATTTGCTTCTGGGGTGTGTTCCTCATTTTCATCACTGTAATTCCAGCCCTGCTGCATGGTCCTTTCTCTTAGGATATACTGCAGTATAAATTGAACAGACACAAAAGGGCTACAGAGATAGGAGTTGAAAAGATTAAGGGTAGAGTCATTTACTATTGTTTTTAGAAGACACTTCATAGACCATTCAAGATGTTCTAACTTGACCATGCCTTTGCTCATGCTGTTATATATGTCTAATATATCTACTGTCCTCTAATTTTGATGAAATCCTAGCATTTATTCAAGTTCCAGATCGAAGGGATATCCCCTGTAGAGTTTTTTTAAATATTGAGACAAGATTAATTATTTGTAGCTCTCTGCTCTATACACAGTGTGATGTGTAGATCCCAACTGTTGGACTTATCAAATTTTATTAGAGTTTTAAATGTCTCTCTCCCTCCATCAAATGTGAGGCTCTTAAAGCTGAGCTGAGTCTTTTCTTTTCTTTTTTTTTTTTTTTCTTTTATTATTATACTTTAAGTTTTAGGGTACATGTGCACATTGTGCGGATTAGTTACATATGTATACATGTGCCATGCTGGTGCGCTGCACCCACTAACTCGTCATCTAGCATTAGGTATATCTCCCAATGCTATCCCTCCCCCCTCCCCCCACCCCACAACAGTCCCCAGAGTGTGGTGTTCCCCTTCCTGTGTCCATGTGATCTCATTGTTCAATTCCCACCTATGAGAGAGAATATGCGGTGTTTGGTTTTTTGTTCTTGCGATAGTTTACTGAGAATGATGATTTCCAATTTCATCCATGTCCCTACAAAGGACGTGAACTCATCATTTTTTATGGCTGCATAGTATTCCATGGTGTATATGTGCCACATTTTCTTAATCCAGTCTATCATTGTTGGACATTTGGGTTGGTTCCAAGTCTTTGCTATTGTGAATAATGCCGCAGTAAACATACGTGTGCATGTGTCTTTATAGCAGCATGATTTATAGTCCTTTGGGTATATACCCAGTAATGGGATGGCTGGGTCAAATGGTATTTCTAGTTCTAGATCCCTGAGGAATCGCCACACTGACTTCCACAATGGTTGAACTAGTTTACAGTCCCACCAACAGTGTAAAAGTGTTCCTATTTCTCCACATCCTCTCCAGCACCTGTTGTTTCCTGACTTTTTAATGATTGCCATTCTAACTGGTGTGAGATGGTATCTCATTGTGGTTTTGATTTGCATTTCTCTGATGGCCAGTGATGATGAGCATTTTTTCATGTGTTTTTTTGCTGCATAAATGTCTTCTTTTGAGAAGTGTCTGCTCATGTCCTTTGCCCACTTTTTGATGGGGTTGTTTTTTTTTTTTTCTTGTAAATTTGTTTGAGTTCATTGTAGATTCTGGATATTAGCCCTTTGTCAGATGAGTAAGTTGCGAAAATTTTCTCCCATTTTGTAGGTTGCCTGTTCACTCTGATGGTAGTTTCTTTTGCTGTGCAGAAGCTCTTTAGTTTAATTATATCCCATTTGTCAATTTTTTCTTCTGTTGCTGTTGCTTTTGGTGTTTTAGACATGAAGTCCTTGCCCATGCCTAAGTCCTGAATGGTATTGCCTAGGTTTTCTTCTAGGGTTTTTATGGTTTTAGGTCTGACGTTTAAGTCTTTAATCCATCTTGAATTGATTTTTGTATAAGGTGTAAGGAAGGGATCCAGTTTCAGCTTTCTACATATGGCTAGCCAGTTTTCCCAGCACCATTTATTAAATAGGGAATCCGTTACCCATTGCTTGTTTTTCTCAGGTTTGTCAAAGATCAGATAGTTGTAGATACGCGGCGTTATTTCTGAGGGCTCTGTTCTGTTCCATTGATCTATATCTCTGTTTTGGTACCAGTACCATGCTGTTTTGGTTACTGTAGCCTTGTGGTATAGTTTGAAGTCAGGTAGCGTGATGCCTCCAGCTTTGTTCTTTTGGCTTAGGATTGACTTGGCGATGCGGGCTCTTTTTTGGTTCCATATGAACTTTAAAGTAGTTTTTTCCAATTCTGTGAAGAAAGTCATTGGTAGCTTGATGGGGATGGCATTGAATCTGTAAATTACCTTGGGCAGTATGGCCATTTTCACGATATTGATTCTTCCTACCCATGAGCATGGAATGTTCTTCCATTTGTTTGTATCCTCTTTTATTTCCTTGAGCAGTGGTTTGTAGTTCTCCTTGAAGAGGTCCTTCACATCCCTTGTAAGTTGGATTCCTAGGTATTTTATTCTCCTTGAAGCAATTGTGAATGGGAGTTCACTCATGATTTGGCTCTCTGTTTGTCTGTTGTTGGTGTATAAGAATGCTTGTGATTTTTGTACATTGATTTTGTATCCTGAGACTTTGTTGAAGTTGCTTATCAGCTTAAGGAGATTTTGGGCTGAGACAATGGGGTTTTCTAGATATACAATCATGTCATCTGCAAAGAGGGACAATTTGACTTCCTCTTTTCTTAATTGAATACCCTTTATTTCCTTCTCCTGCCAAATTGCCCTGGCCAGAACTTCCAACACTATGTTGAATAGGAGTGGTGAGAGAGGGCATCCCTGTCTTGTGCCAGTTTTCAAAGGGAATGCTTCCAGTTTTTGCCCATTCAGTATGATATTGGCTGTGGGTTTGTCATAGATAGCTCTTATTATTTTGAAATATGTCCCATCAATACCTAATTTATTGAGAGTTTTTAGCATGAAGGGTTGTTGAATTTTGTCAAAGGCCTTTTCTGCATCTATTGAGATAATCATGTGGTTTTTGTCTTTGGCTCTGTTTATATGCTGGATTACATTTATTGATTTACATATATTGAACCAGCCTTGCATCCCAGGGATGAAGCCCACTTGATCATGGTGGATAAGCTTTTTGATGTGCTGCTGGATTCGTTTTGCCAGTATTTTATTGAGGATTTTTGCATCAATGTTCATCAAGGATATTGGTCTAAAATTCTCTTTTTTGGTTGTGTCTCTGCCAGGCTTTGGTATCAGGATGATGCTGGCCTCATAAAATGAGTTAGGGAGGATTCCCTCTTTTTCTGTTGATTGGAATAGTTTCAGAAGGAATGGTACCAGTTCCTCCTTGTACCTCTGGTAGAATTTGGCTGTGAATCTATCTGGTCCTGGACTCTTTTTGGTTGGTAAGCTATTGATTATTGCCACAATTTCAGATCCTGTTATTGGTCTATTCAGAGATTCAACTTCTTCCTGGTTTAGTCTTGGGAGAGTGTACGTGTCGAGGAATTTATCCATTTCTTCTAGATTTTCTAGATTATTTGCGTAGAGGTGTTTGTAGTATTCTCTGATGGTAGTTTGTATTTCTGTGGGATCGGTGGTGATATCCCCTTTTTCATTTTTTATTGCGTCTATTTGATTCTTCTCTCTTTTTTTCTTTATTAGTCTTGCTAGCAGTCTATCAATTTTGTTGATCCTTTCAAAAAACCAGCTCCTGGATTCATTAATTTTTTGAAGGGTTTTTTGTGTCTCTATTTCCTTCAGTTCTGCTCTGATTTTAGTTATTTCTTGCCTTCTGCTAGCTTTTGAATGTGTTTGCTCTTGCTTTTCTAGTTCTTTTAATTGTGATGTTAGGGTGTCAATTTTGGATCTTTCCTGCTTTCTCTTGTGGGCATTTAGTGCTATAAATTTCCCTCTACACACTGCTTTGAATGCGTCCCAGAGATTCTGGTATGTTGTGTCTTTGTTCTGGTTGGTTTCAAAGAACATCTTTATTTCTGCCTTCATTTCGTTATGTACCCAGTAGTCATTCAGGAGCAGGTTGTTCAGTTTCCATGTAGTTGAGCGGTTTTGAGTGAGATTCTTAATCCTGAGTTCTAGTTTGATTGCACTGTGGTCTGAGAGACAGTTTGTTATAATTTGTGTTCTTTTACATTTGCTGAGGAGAGCTTTACTTCCAAGTATGTGGTCAATTTTGGAATAGGTGTGGTGTGGTGCTGAAAAAAGTGTATATTCTGTTGATTTGGGGTGGAGAGTTCTGTAGATGTCTATTAGGTCTGCTTGGTGCAGAGCTGAGTTCAATTCCTGGGTATCCTTGTTGACTTTCTGTCTCGTTGATCTGTCTAATGTTGACAGTGGGGTGTTAAAGTCTCCCATTATTAATGTGTGGGAGTTTAAGTCTCTTTGTAGGTCACTCAGGACTTGCTTTATGAATCTGGGTCCTCCTGTATTGGGTGCATATATATTTAGGATAGTTAGCTCTTCTTGTTGAATTGATCCCTTTACCATTATGTAATGGCCTTCTTTGTCTCTTTTGATCTTTGTTGGTTTAAAGTCTGTTTTATCAGAGACTGGGATTGCAACCCCTGCCTTTTTTTGTTTTCCATTTGCTTGGTGGATCTTCCTCCATCCTTTTATTTTGAGCCTATGTGTGTCTCTGCACGTGAGATGGGTTTCCTGAATACAGCACACTGATGGGTCTTGACTCCTTATCCAATTTGCCAGTCTGTGTCTTTTAATTGGAGCATTTAGTCCATTTACATTTAAAGTTAATATTGTTATGTGTGAATTTGATCCTGTCATGATGATGTTAGCTGGTGATTTTGCTCGTTAGTTGATGCAGTTTCTTCCTAGTCTCGATGGTCTTTACATTTTGGCATGATTTTGCCGCGGCTGGTACCGGTTGTTCCTTTCCATGTTTAGCGCTTCCTTCAGGAGCTCTTTTAGTGCAGGCCTGGTGGTGACAAAATCTCTCAGCATTTGCTTGTCTGTAAAGTATTTTATTTCTCCTTCACTTATGAAGCTTAGTTTGGCTGGATATGAAATTCTGGGTTGAAAATTCTTTTCTTTGAGAATGTTGAATATTGGCCCCCACTCTCTTCTGGCTTGTAGGGTTTCTGCCAAGAGATCCGCTGTTAGTCTGATGGGCTTCCCTTTGAGGGTAACCCAACCTTTCTCTCTGGCTGCCCTTAACATTTTTTCCTTCATTTCAACTTTGGTGAATCTGACAATTATGTGTCTTGGAGTTGCTCTTCTCGAGGAGTATCTTTGTGGCATTCTCTGTATTTCCTGAATCTGAACGGTGGCCTGCCTTGTTAGATTGGGGAAGTTCTCCTGGATAATATCCTGCAGAGTGTTTTCCAACTTGGTTCCATTCTCCCCATCACTTTCAGGTACACCAATCAGATGTAGATTTGGTCTTTTCACATAGTCCCATATTTCTTGGAGGCTTTGCTCATTTCTTTTTATTCTTTTTTCTCTAAACTTCCCTTCTCGCTTCATTTCATTCATTTCATCTTCCATTGCTGATACCCTTTCTTCCAGTTGATCGCATCGGCTCCTGAGGCTTCTGCATTCTTCACGTAGTTCTCGAGCCTTGGTTTTCAGCTCCATCAGCTCCTTTAAGCACTTCTCTGTATTGGTTATTCTAATTCTACATTCTTCTAAATTTTTTTCAAAGTTTTCAACTTCTTTGCCTTTGGTTTGAATATCCTCCCGTAGCTCAGAGTAATTTGATCGTCTGAAGCCTTCTTCTCTCAGCTCGTCAAAGTCGTTCTCCGTCCAGCTTTGTTCCGTTGCTGGTGAGGAACTGCGTTCCTTTGGAGGAGGAGAGGCGCTCTACTTTTTAGAGTTTCCAGTTTTTCTGTTCTGTTTTTTCCCCATCTTTGTGGTTTTATCTACTTTTGGTCTTTGATGATGGTGATGTACAGATGGGTTTTTGGTGTAGATGTCCTTTCTGTTTGTTAGTTTTCCTTCTAACAGACAGGACCCTCAGCTGCAGGTGTTGGAGTACCCTGCCGTGTGAGGTGTCAGTGTACCCCTGCTGTGGGGTGCCTCCCAGTTAGGCTGCTCGGGGGTCAGGAGTCAGGGACCCACTTGAGGAGGCAGTCTGCCCGTTCTCAGATCTCCAGCTGCGTACTGGGAGAACCACTGCTCTCTTCAAAGCTGTCTGACAGGGACATTTAAGTCTGCAGAGGTTACTGCTGTCTTTTTGTTTGTCTGTGTCCTGCCCCCAGAGGTGGAGCCTACAGAGGCAGGCAGGCCTCCTTGAGCTGTGGTGGGCTCCACCCAGTTCGAGCTTCCTGGCTGCTTTGTTTACCTAATCAAGCCTGGGCAATGGCGGGCGCCCCTCCCCCAGCCTGGCTGCTGCATTGCAGTCTGATCTCAGACTGCCGTGCTAGCAATCAGCGAGACTCCGTGGGCGTAGGACCCTCCGAGCCACGTGCGGGATATAATCTTGTGCTGCGCCGTTTTTTAAGCTCATCGGAAAAGTGCAGTATTCGGGTGGGAGTGACCCGATTTTCCAGGTGCCGTCCATCACCCCTTTCTTTGACTAGGAAAGGGAACTCGGTGACCCCTTGCGCTTCCCGAGTGAGGCAATGCCTCACCCTGCTTCGGCTCGCGCATGGTGCGCGCACCCACTGACTTGAGCCCACTGTCTGGCACTCCCTAGTAAGATGAACCCAGTACCTCAGATGGAAATGCAGAAATCACCCGTCTTCTGCGTCGCTCACGCTGGGAGCTGTAGACCGGAGCTGTTCCTATTCGGCCATCTTGGCTCCTTGAGTGAGCTGAGCCTTTTCTTATCTGAGTATGTATCATTAGCACCTAGCATGGTGACTGGCCCAAAGCCAGTAAGCAATAAATGATCACTGAGTGAAAGAATGGTTAAGATGAGTCAGCTCTTGGGAATTACTCAACGGCAGCATTTCTATCAATTTTGTTTGGTATGCATTCCAGAAAAATAAAGTTTCTAGGAATGGCTATTGGAATTTCAAGACTTATTGAGAAACCATAAGATTTGCCATACATCACTTCTCTGCTATCAATGACATTAATAATTTAGAGAGTTATTAGTTTAGCTCCTCTTCTGCACTGTGGTGGGCATAAGACATGTTTACTTAATTTTTAAAGTGAAACTATTAAATTTTATCTGAAACAATCGTAAGCTTTCCGTACTCATGGCACCCATACAAGACATGTTCAGTTTTTGGGGGGCAAGCAAAAATACTGTTGCTGAAAAGGTAATCCTTTGCCTTGACACTGAGTGGCACAGTCTTTTGTGCTAAAGCATTTAGGGACATGTACTTACAACTGTTTTGAATTTTTTATGTAACTATCAGTGTTCAAATTCAGTTATGTCGTATTTGATGGTTCTCTAATTCCCAATCAAAATGTCATATACTTGGCAATGTACATCAGATTTCAGATGGGAGAGTATGTGGATAAACTGGGCAAGCTGTTAGAATACATTATTGAATTCTAAACATGTCTTAACCACCTCTATTGAGTGTTCATTTCGAATTGTTTCTGGGTTGTCATATTATCAAAGTCATAATATTATAAGTAGTTCTGTAATGTTTGACTTTTAAGAATAGTCACTTTTTGTATTGTTTATATACAGCTACAATTTTTACATTATGATCTGCAAAACCAATCAATTAGTAGATTTGGAAGTCATAAAATCATTTTGCCATATACTCTTAGCTTTTTAAATGCCATTAATACTTTATGTTTTAAAATTGACTTTTTTTGACAAATTTTGCAGGTCAAAATAGCTAGTGGTAACAGTTTTTGAAGAAAAACTGTTCTTAGATTTGATTATACATGTACAGATTTGATATATGCATTTACAGATGATATTTATCTTAGATTTGATTATACATGTACAGATTTGATATATGCATTTATAGATGATATTTATCTCACATCAAATAAAAACAGGATAATTTGCAAGATCTAGAATTAGCTTATTATGTTTCAACTTTTGTCCATAAAGTTCTGAGGGAAGAAGTTAAAACTTTATCCTATATATTCAGGCTTTCAGATAGTTTTTTTTACGCCAGAGGCACTTAGGAGCTATTGCATGTTTGTTACACAAGGCAAAGAAATGTGCTATAACCTTTTCTAATTTAAAGAACTCATTCATTGCAGGCTTAAAAAAAGACCTGCAGCTAAAATAGTTTCTACTGTATAAATCTAAAAGATCAGCGTGTCTATTTTGAAAGAAAATATGGAATATTGTAAATTATTTGTTTCATTCATTCAACCCACATTTAGTGTTTAGCTAGTGTATATTGTTTTCATATTTATCTCGGCTAGGATTTGCCAACAATATTAGGTGGTGATTCGAAAAACAATCCTATGGTCTTCAAGGGAAGACTCCTAGCTTGTCCTGAAGAATCGGGTCCTGGTATTTTTTGATCCTTTAAAATATTGCCATCATTTTCCAGCTACCTTTGCTTAAGTCACTTTACTTTTGAACTAAATTTTGCAAATACAATTTACAAATAATTATTTTATATACTGTTTTAGTTCATTCAGGCTGCTCTAATAAAATACCTTAGACTGGGTAATTTATAAACAACAAAAATGTATTGCTTTCAGTTTGAAGGCTGGGAAGTCTAAGATCAAGACACCAGCAGACTTGGTGTCAGGTGTGCATCCATTCCTCATAGACAGCACCTTCTATGTGTCCTTTCATGGGGGAGGAGACCAACAAGCTCCTTCAGGCCTCTTTCATATGGGCACTAATCCCATTCATGAGGGCTCCTCCCTCATCACTTCAGTACTACACAAAAGGCCTTACCTCTTAACCCCAACACATTTTGTGGGTTAGATTTTGGCATACAATTTTTGGAGGAACACATACATTCAGACCATTCAGACCATAACATATCCAAAAAGAATATTTTTAAATTTGTTTATATAATTTTATCTTGCCAGAATGCTTGCTTGCAGGCCAATATGAACAACTTCATACCACACACACTACAATTCCTTAGCAGTCTTTAAGAAATGCTTATAAAATTCTATTTTCTTGCCTCTTTCTTATCTTGTGGTAAAGTTTGTAATTTAGCTTCCGTATTGAACTCAGGGAAGATTAAATAAAATATGTCAAAACACTTAGAAGGAACCTTCCCCAGAATTAGACGCTTTACTCTTAATCACAATATTGTTTTACCTTGTTTTAATAGATGTTGGCCTTGCTCCAAATTTACTGAAATATGTTTTTATTTCTATATGCTGGTAATTATATCAGGAAATGCACATGGGAGAAAGGAAGAAAGGAAGAGGGAAGGAGAGAGACAATGTCTATTGATTTACATTGTGTTACAACAGTGTACTTGGTTCTTCCATTATGTTTGCTCATTTCATTCTAAACAGATTAAAAAAAAACCTTTTATCTCTGTTATCTAAATAAGAAACTGAGGACCATAAACTTTACATAATGTGTCCAAAATCACAGTGCCAATAAATGGGAAAATCAGAATTTAGATCCAGAACTCTCTGGCCAGTGGTTTCACACTCTGATATTGTAGGACCGCTAGGTTCATAATGCCTGCTGCACAGTAACAGACCAATACACCAAGACAACAGGGTTTGCAGCAGAGAAAGTGTTTAATGATTACAGGGCAGCCAAATAAGGAAATGGGAGAAACCCTCAAATTATCCTCCTGAGGAGTTCTGGGCTGAAGTTTTTAGGATGATTATAGGGTGTGAGGGGCTGTAAAATTGAGGTCACTGTTTGGTCAGAGTAAGGATGATAAAATCATCAGGATGTGGAAACTGCACTCTTTGGTGATTCAGTCTCTTCTGGGTTTCTTCAGAACAGCTGATATCAGTAGTTTCATTGGTGTGCAGGCCCTGAAAGAATATTTCAAAAGGAAAATTTAACATTTCACAATGCTCAAGTTGTTATCTATAGAGCAGTTAAAGGAAACTATCATGTAGGATCTGCATGATTCTGAGACAATAGGTGACAAACAACTATGAGAAAGCAGATCAGAGAGCAAGCTGACCTAATGATTAATGCCAAATATACCACAAGCTTGGTTTATTCTCATTTCTACCCTTCCCTTCTTCCCTGATTAATTTTACGAAATTTATAGGGACCACTTCACTAATAGCTCTTCTCAATGTTATGGTTATCTTCTCAGTTTATTAATGCTGCTATAACAAAATACTTTACTACAGACTGGGTAATTTATAAACAACAGAAGTTTATTCTTATAGGTCAGGAGTATTGAAAGTCCAAGATCAAGGCACAAGCATTATTTGTCTGGTAAGACCTTCTTGCTATGTTCTTACGTGGCAGAGCAGGAGGCCAAAAGAGACAAAACGCTATGCCCTCACATGGCAGAAAGTGGGAGAGTAAAAGTGATGTAAGCTAGTTCCTTCCAGCTCTTTTCTAAGGCACTAACCCATTCATAAGGATGGATCCTGCATGATTTAATAACTCCCTCAAAGGCCCCCCCTCTTACTACTACCAAATAGGGATTAAGTTTCCACACTTAAATTGGGAGAGGTCACATTCAAACCATAGCAGTCACCATACATTAGTTAAGCTTCATCAAGTGTCAGCAAATTCTGCACCCTCATGAAAGATGGAATGTAACAGCATGCATCAACAACACAAAACTAGTTTTTGTTTCCTACACTTCTCTCAGAGCAATTAATAATATAAACACTTAGGGGTCAAACTAGATCCAAGTAATAAAAGGTCTACTTTAGATGTGTGCCATTTATTTAATAATTTTTGTGTAAAGGGCCATGCTAATGCTTTCCATCTAAGTTAAGTCGGTGGTCTAATAAAAAGTTTGAATTCAGCTAACTACAAAGAAGACTTGAAATCAAGACTATTATATTCTTCTTCATCATTTAGACTCTTACTTCTGAGAGCTACATATCTCCTAAGCAAATTTAACTAAGAGAGTGACTTTGAAATGCTTGAAGAGTTGTACTCAGGTGCTTCCTTCCTCTGCCTCTTTTGAAATAAGACATTGAATCTTTCTGGTATTTAAATTTCCTTTGCCGCTGCTTCAGTCTTTGCCCCAGAGTCTGATGGATTCTCTAGTCATAATTTATTCTGTAGAAATAGTGATTTGGGATATAGGAAAACAACACAGTGCTTCATAGAGATAAAGAGTAATAAAGGCCACTTGTGCTTCATGCATAGAAATGATGTTTACATAATAAAAATGAGACATTGGTTCTCCTAAATAGTAGCTTTGTATCTTCATATAATTTATCAAGATTTTATATGGCTGATTTAGCTGAGAGTGCCTCTGTTGACCTCCATGTCTTACCTGGAACTCTTGCCCATCATATGAACATTTCTAGGGTAATAAATCTGACTTTTGAAAATATACCCACCAGGATACTCTTTGTATAAATTTATATTAATTATATTATTTCCTTAAAATACATTTTGTTAAAAAAAAAACTTATGATTGGGAGACCACAGGTTACAATAAAATAAATGCAATATATTAGATTATTAAATATAAGCTTTACATACTTTTTGCCTAGATAGGTTTAAAATTAAAACAAAAGAAGTTCTTATTTCTGTTCTTCTTCCTGCCTTACTCTACCCCGCAAAAGATTTAAAATACATTTGGTCCACTTAAGCTAAAATAGCTACACTATTTACAAGCAAAGCAAGACACACATATTGAGGGAACTAAAAATTCTTTAACATTTTTAGCAATTCACAAAATTTACATTGACATTTTCATTCACTTATTCATTCACTCATTCACTCACTCATGTATAAATGTCTTGATTTCAGGAATATTATGGAAAATATAATAAATTATACTTTCTTTGTAGGATGTGAGCAAACAGGAAGTTCTCATATACCTTTCTGTATGCCAGTATGCATCTTTCATTATCACTTCTTTTATTTTATCTTCCAAAAAGGTATTTTCTTCATAACTCAATGTTTTAAAAAAGCAGGTTTCCTCTAATATGCAGTCTAACAAAATCCAAAAGAAGGTAATGTGTAAAACACAGAATACTTTAAACTTGCTTTCAATTCTTTGATGCTGTGGAATCCTTTACTAAGTGCATGCCCATTATCTCCTTGTTAATAAGCTTCCAAATTGAGTTTCAAAAGTGTTTGTGTAAAATCAAAGCAAGCAATCAACCACCAACTCAGAATACAGTAAAAATCCTCCTGGACATTAAAGGGAAGTTGGTATTATACCTGAAATATTAAGAATATTTAACATGTACATATTTAAGGGATTTGTATGTCTCTAATTGAAATGGAGTTTATAATGATTTTAATATAACCATTATGAGCATTATAAAACTATATAATTTTGTCAGATGTATTCTAGCCTAAATATAAAAATACACAATTATTTCAACAGAATATCAAAATTCGATATTATTTTAGCTCTCTATATTTTTGGTTATAATAGTGCTCATTGTAGAAAATTTAGAAAGTGTAGAAAGTTATTTAACAAAACAAAAGCAGGAAATGTATCACAACTGATTCCCTGAAGATAAAAGTACTCTTAATACAACATATTTATTTTATGCCTCATATTTATTCTGACATTCTGTATGTATCTAACATTCTTTATATATGTTTATATTTTCTCTTTTTCACTTAACAGGATTGTGTGTTAAATGCTTTTTGTGGCATTAAAATAACTTTGTAAACATTTTGATACCTAAATTTTATGTCAATGTGTGACCATTTATTGAGGAACACTTTATTTGGTTCCAATTTAGGTTTTTATAAATAATACTTCTATAAGGAATTATTTGTATTTTGGGAAAACATTCTTTCAAATGGATAATAAATTTAATTCATTTATTAGTACAACTTCCCATTCTTTTTTGTTTGTTTGTTTCAAGCCTACAGCACCCAGCAGTCCTAGGTAATTTCTCATCCTAGTACTAACCAGGCCCAAACCTGCTTAGGTGCCAAGATCAGATCAGGTGAATTCAAGATGGTACGGCTATAAATAATCACAGAGTTTTTTATTTTAACTTCTTTCTTAGCCATTTAAAATGTGTTAAATAATTTTTCCCATCAAAATTGTATAGTTAATATTATATCAGAAGTCTTTATATGTTGTATAATGTGTTTCACTGTCATTACACAGGAACTTCAAATGGGTGGTTTATAGTTTTTTTAAATGTCTCTTTTCTCTGAAAATGGGTAAACAAGTTTTTTATTATTCAGGATGCAAAAGAGTAACATGATTTTGTAGCTGTATATGTAATATACATTTCAATATATCATTAGGAAAAGGATGCTAAAATAATAAATTTAAAATAATAAATCTAGGTTTATCTCTTTGCATTGATTTCTTTGGAGTTCAGTGAACCTATGTGATCTGCTTGATCTGTTTCTTTTTCCATTCAGGAAAGATATTGACAAATGTGTCCTGAGTATTACTCCTGTTCTAGTTATTCTGGTTTTGTTCTCAAGAATGAATTACAGTTCTTTTATCATATGTGCTTTAGTTGTCCATTTCCATTTTTCTTTCTTTGTCCTATTCAATTACACCCTGGTAAAGTTTTCAAAAAAAAATTCTTTAATGTTTATGCTGTTCTTTTCTAATATCAAAGTTTAATTCTATGACTGCATTATGAATTTATCTTCTGTTTTATTCATTTCTTACCCATCTCCATTACCTCACAGAAGATATATTTTCATTTCCAGATCTTCCTACTGCTAATTCATCTAAAGCATTTTTTCAACATTATATTAAAACTGCCAAATCATCTTCAAATTATTTCTTCTGATTCTTTAGTAAATCATTTTTTGAGGTCTATTTTTCTTCCAAGTCTTTGGAAAGATTTTCCCCTTTCTTGTTCTCTTTCAGTCTGAATAGAGCCATAATTTATTCACAAAGAAAAAAGAGCCCATTTCCCCACTTTAAGCCATTCTTAAGTGAAGGCTAATCATTCTTGACATGGTTTAAGGCACTACATAAGGCATTTGAATTGCCATTGGCTCTGCTATCTGTCCTAGGGGGTGCTAGTTTTTTGCACAGCCTAAAGGGACAGTTGATATGTAAAGTTTTTGTCAACCTCCCAATATCTAGCATACTTTTCAGCTAAACCCAGTACGCAGCGTCCATTCTTCCTATTTCAATCTATACCATATAACTCAGAATAATTTTCATAATATTTACTTTTCCCATGTTACACATAGTACTTTTATATTCAGAATACTCCAGTGATGTCTCTCTTCCTTAAGGGTGACTTCTATATTCATGAGCCTAGCATACAGGGCTCTCTATAGTAGACCTATTTCTGAAACGTCATCTCTAGTCTCTAGAGTAGATCTCTCTCCTAACCCCACAAATTGTCTAAACAATAACCTTCCTTTGAAGCCAAGGTCAAAAGACACATTCTTTAATGGCTGAAACTTCTATATTTGTTTCTTAGCGTTGATTCCTAAATCAACATGAGGAAACTATGACAGTCATTTAGCACTCTCAAAATATAAGCGACCCTCTTTATTCTTTGTTATAACCCTAACATGTGAACTGAGTTCTTCTTACAGTAATTGAAAACACATTTTACATCTTGCTTCCTTCAACATTGATTCTGATTTCAGGTTACTATTTGCACACGTTGTTTTTTTTTCCCCCATTTTACTCAACCTGTGTGCATTATTCAATTTTATTTTGACATTTCCTGATTTTGGCATCACTGCTAATTCTTAGTCAGTCCATCTGTTGTTGGGCCTCTGATAGTGGGTGTCCAACCCTGTGCCATGTCCTTTCTTACATGAGGAACTCAGTGAGCTAGTGGGAAGAACCTCACTTGCTTTCTGATGTTTGATTTTCTACCCAGGCTGTGCACGTTCATGAAAACAATTCAGGAGCTGGTGCTTGAGTGCTGCCAATTTTTGCATTTTTTTTTAAGGAAATAGACACAAGAATCTGTGATATTTCAAAACTAAAAAGATGCTTTGAAGAACTGTTGTGTTAAGGACAAGATTTTTATTCTTGGCTTTTGACTATGCAAAAAACATATGTTCTTTAGGATAGAATTAAAAGATAACATTCTAGGACCTTTTCTAAGAACGTGTAATGTTGTAGGAAGAAAACAAACTTTAAAAAAGAAATAAATTTGTAATGTAGTAAAATACTAGTCTATTATACAGCTAAAGAAACTGAAAAATAATGGCTATATGTCATTTAGCTACTTCAAAATGGTTTATTTAAGGATAATACATGTTACATTTATTTGGCCTTGTTTTCACAATAAAAAGTTGTAATGATAATTTGTTTTAGATTATATGCCATCTGTTTATATCGGGACACAGTATCTTTTTAACACAACTCATTGATAATTTTTTATTATCAAAATGTGTGTTAATTTGAAACAAATGCTATCTTATTTCAGAGATACAAAGCATTATGTTTTATCTACATCACATAGAAATAGAAGAAAATATATGGAACTTGGGAGAGCATATGTGTACAGTAAAGAAAAGAAATCTCATGTAGTGGTCAGATTCCCTCCCACTCTAGGAGGCTGACTGGTCACTACAAAATGTGACTAAAAGAAAAAAAAAAACCTAGACCTAGCATTAAAAGCCCAGAAATTTGATTTTCACAGGGTCCAGAACTGTTGAGACATTTAAAGATACTGATTTATGTCCACCAGGCTCATGGAATTATTTTGTATAAATTATAAATATCAAGTAATATGTTATTGTGCAAAGCAGTATAGTGTCATATTTTTAAATGATCAAGGACTTTGGAGTGAGGCTACCTAGGTCCGAATCTTATCTCAGTGTCTACTGACTGTGTCATCTTGAATAATAATGTTACCTCCCTGTGCCTCAGTTTCCTCATTTGAAAAATGGGGACAGTAGCTGCGCATAGCTGATAGGATTATTGTGTTAGTTTAAAGGGTTATTTCAGGTAAAGCACTTAGCACCTGGCGCATAGTAATTGCTCAAAAAGTGTTCCCTACTATAATTACTTTTATTGTGAGAAATGTGACTAAAAAAAGGGAGTACATATTCCCATCCCTTTTCTAGTATTTTCCTTGTTCTTGGGAAGCTCTGTGGCAATCCAAAATTTTCTCTTTTAAGCAGGAAATTAGGACAAAGGTGTTAGTTACATAATTTGACTGTCTGCTGCCTTTAGGGAAAGGTAGCCGGATACATCCTCCTCAAATGGTGCAGCCTTGCCTCAGGGAACTGAATAGTCAATGTCTGGGAACCAAGACTCTCCCCTGCTTGGTGCTTAGATGAGCAGTGCTAATTTTGTGACTTTGTGATTTTTTTTTTTCATTCTATATTGCAATGTTGAACAGCCATCCCTTTCTACTCCCTTGTGACTTGCACATTCTTTTTTTAGGTGTATTACTTTCAGGAAATTTTGCTATGGACTGGAAGTTTCAGAGAAATATATTCTTTGATCCATTATGCATTGATTTTATAGTTAAACCTCTGCAGGCAGACTTACTTATCTCAGCATTCGAGAGGGGAATTTATTTTTATCCTCCCATGTGCTTTATTCATTACATATATACATGCATAATTAATAATTCTTGTAAATTCCTGGCAACTGAGAAATACTTCTGCTTATTTTGACGGTAGAACAGGATAGATATTTAATTGAAGACATTTTGTGGCATGGCTTTACCTGTTGTTTATATCACTAATTCTGACATTTGTTCATTTACTGACTTGTTTTGTTAACTATCTCAAGTGTGTCTCTTGCCTTTCTATGAAGACTGTACATATCTTAAGGGAAGATACATACAGTATCTTTTAATATGAATGTCTTTCCTCACAGTGACAAGTGTAAAGCTAGCCAGAATGGATGTTCAATAAATACTGGTTGCTCTCCTTATGAAACCATCAGTTGCTTGTTTTCTCTTGTTTTGCAGGTGCTAGTGGTATAAAATGGTACACCAAGATTTTTTAAAGAATTGCTATTCTACAATGGAAACAGGAACAATAATAACAATAAAATCCAAAAGCTAAGTTTTGTTTAATAACAAAGAATACTTCACATAATATGAATATCTGATATAGTTTTCATAATTTTTCTCTAATGATTATTGTGCTATTTCCAAAAACACTAAGTGACTTGCAATTTTGTTTATTCACACAAACGTTCCATTTTAAATCCATTAGAAGACTCTAAGAAAGCAGTCTCAGAAGTTACATTTCCATATATTGTCTCTTTCAGAAGAAAGTTTGAAAGTCTTTTTCTCTGGATTGATTAGAACCCAACTGAAGTTTCAGGGCTACCCTACTGTGAAATCTTCCTGGTCAGGGATGTGCCTTATTTAGATTGGCATCTCTGTCATCAAGCGTTCAGCTCCAGCTCTGGGAAGCATCCAGTGTTTATTTACCCAAAAGTAAATAGGTGCACCTTGTTGTAGACACTATGCAAGGCACTTCTATACACACTTTTAATTTTATCTTGACAACAACCCTGAAGAAAACGGCATTATCACTACTTTGAATGAAGAAACTCAGATATATAGAGGTTAAAAGACTGAATATACGAGAAGGCATATATAATTCATAAGGTATCATGTAATAATGCAGTGCAGTGTACCAAGGAGAATTTCCTGTTAAATTCTGAAATACTTTACATATATTTTGCCAAACTGAAATGTAAAACTTATATTATTAATGGTGTATTGTTATCAGTTTATATCAGACCCCTTCAGAAATGTACTTTTTTTTATCATTACAGAATATCTCACATGTGATTTTTATTTTTATTATAAGTGCCATATTCACTTTTATTTATATACCTAGCTGGAAAATATATGTATATATGTATATGATCTTAGGAATTAGAAAGCTGAGCAGCAAGGTGTATATTGAGAGCAAGGAGGCGTGCAGTGTGGGATGAGTATTGAACTCATATAGCAAATTTGAAACTCATCACCTTCTTTCCAGTGTGGCAGCATAGGGAAGTTGTGACTTTCCTTCTCTGCATTGGTTGAACTCCATCAGTATCTCGTAAGTTATATAACTCATTTTGGTTGTGCTTTCAAAACTAATCTAAAACTAAAACACCTGGTCTGTTTTATTATCTCAGATTAGAGTTTAATCTAGAGGTTTTGATCTGGTAGCCTACAGGCCAGAATCAGTAAACAGGGATGTTTTCTTGAGCTGTGCTGTACTAGTCACCAAGGTGTTCTGTTTTGTTTATAAAGAGGTTAATTGATTATGAATATTTGAACCCCAAGGGGTTTCATATAAAAATCTGGGCTTCTGGCTTTTTTTTTTTTTTTTTTTTTTTTCCTTGAGACAGAGTTTCACTTTTGTTGCCCAGGCTGGAGTGCAATTGTGCGATCTCGGCTCACCGCAACCTCTGCCTCCTGGGTTCAAGTGATTCTCCTGCCTCAGCCTCCTGAGTAGCTGGGATTACAGGTGCCCGCCACCACTCCTGGCTAATTTTGTATTTTTAGTAGAGATGGGGTTTTTCCATGTTGGTCAGGCTGGTCTCAAACTCCTGACCTCAGGTGATCCGCCCACCTCGGCCTCCCAAAGTGCTGGGATTATAGGCATGAGTCACTGCACCTGGCTGGCTTTTCCTTAAAAACAATTATCAGTCAACTCTAGGCTCCTATTTCCTCCAAGTAACAATTGATAGGAACTCAGTAGTAACTTCCCCCAGATGAAAGATGCGTATTCTGCAGTTTACAATAGTTCACACCACTTCCTATTATATCTCTGAAAATACTCATAAAATTTATTATTATGCTGATGTAGTGGTTTTTCCTGTATCTGATTTGCTTTACTCATTTGTCAGTTCTTTGAGTTTGTGAACAGTGGTTTGTTAAGTGTGAGTTTTTAAAAATAGTGTATATGATACAATAAATACATATAATTTCATCTGTCAATTTAAATAAATAAATAAATTTGTAAAAAGTAATAAAAATAAAAACATTTTAGCATTTCAAAAAAAAAGATATTATATACTCATCTCTGATTCTCAGTGCCTAGCAGAGTCTGTCATTCAGAAGATGCTGAATGTCTGTTGAATGAATAACTGAATGAATTCCTAAGGTAGATTTCAATATTACATCTGTTAGAAGCTAATTTGGGGATCTTTAAAGTGCATATCAACCAGTGTTGCTTTTTGGGCTGTGTGTGTGTATGTGTCTGTGTTTGTGTGTGTGTACCAGATGTAAAGCAAGATGAAATTTAGTCACAATTGTATCTTTGGAAGTCAAGTTTAAGAGAAGTGAGTCAGTGGTTTGAAGCCAAATTTGGATGATATTTTTAAAATTCTCTTAGGATTTGTTTTTTTTTTTCAGCTTAAAATTATAGTATTAGACATTTACATTTCATTGTGATGTATTTGTCTTGATCCTATTTATTTGTAAGTTCCTCAGAATAAAATCACATAATGAGATTTGTAGAGAATAAAAATATTCTCCAATTCTGTTGTTTTTGTCTTAGCAGAATGTGCATGGTCCTCACTATGGCATTTATCTAACAGTGTTCAACAAATATGCAACAAGTATCAGATTAATCAAACAATGACAAAAAACTTAAAAAGTAATCACATAAAATGTTTAAAACAAGTATACAATAATTATAGTTTTTTTGAAAAAAATATAAAATTTAGCTAGTTCACACTGGGTCTAAAATATATATTTTGTTAATTTTTATAAGTTAAAGATATTTCTTTTTAGATTGGATAAATTTCACATGGTAGTTTTGAGAAGACAAGGTAAATAAAAGTTTTTCATTATCTCCTGAAAAAGCAAGAAAAGTAGACCATCACGGTACAGTTTAATAAGAGCAGCATTAGAATTACCACTAAGATATTAACAAAGATTAAAGGCCAAAAGTTGACTTTGTAAAGGGATAGTTTCATACAAGATCATGTGTGTGCTGAGATTCTCATATAGTTCGGCAGTGGAAATTATGCCAGAGGTAAGAGCATATAGGATTAAAGTTGGAAAGAAAGAATTTATGTTTGGGTATGACAGGTATTCATATGGGTCGAAAGCAAGAGAGTATGGTGATAGATGAGACTAGACCAGATGTCAAGCAAATAAATTATTGAAGGATTTATTGGAAAAAAGATTTAGAGATTTATTCTTTACATGGAGGAGGGACATTTATGTATTATAGGCGGAGAGTGACATGATTATATTAGTGCTTTGGAAATATCACTAAGGTGATATGTGAAGTGTGGATGATTTATGCTTCAGATAGGGATAAACTGGAGGGAGGGAGAAAAGTTAGGAGATAATTTCAGTAGTTTGAGAGGCAAGGCAAGATGGTAATAGGAATATGAAATATATATTATATTAAAATATAATTATTTTATAATTACTTACATATATACAATTATTTGTATATGATATAAAATAAAATATAAATCAATATTTAGGAGGCTGGATTATCATGTTTGGTGGCCAAAATAATATTGGTCTTAAGTGAAGGATAATTTCAGTTTTTCCTGAATTGGATGTCAACTAGATGGATTGGATATCGGTGCTATTCAATACATTTGATTTTGGAGATACACAGGAATAGATTGGAAGGGTTTTGTTGAGAATGAGGAGTAGATTAAGAGTGAATTTAGCTTGGGGTACGATGAGTTGAGATACCTAAAAAATATTCAACTGGGGACATCATAAGAAGTTGTAAATGTGAATTTCGAGCCAAAGCTATTTGTTGACATTGAGAAGGATGTGCTGCTTGAAGTAGTTCTAGAATGGAGTGCTAGGAAACACTGATATTTAAGGTCATGAAGAAAATAATGCTTATAAGAAACAGACATTGTGTGACAGTTACCCCTTTAATCCTCATGACAATTCTATGTGATAGGTACAGATATCATCCACAATGTAATGTGGAGTTTGTTGAGGCACCAAGAGGCCAGGTAACTTGCTCAGTAGTGAGAAGTGGTATCCAGAAATGTCAAAGAAAAATAGAGAGTGGTGCTCACCACTTGTCATGTTACAAATTAATGTATTCTCAAAAATAATGTCTTAATTGACTATTTAGAGAATCTTTAGTAAATAGTTATTATATTCTAACCTTAAGACTTTGTTATTCTAGTATTTAGAGAATGCTTTTAAACATCATGCATAGGCAATCTGTAGATAATGGGTATGGAACCCAATAACATTTGTCTTTTTCTAGAATAAAGAAACTCTTATATAAATTTTTCTAATCTAATTTAAATCTTTACCTAAGAAATAAGTATTTATTTTAAATTTATATTATTTCCATTCCAGGCAATAGCTTATATCAAGAAGTCATTCAATTTGATACGAGCTTTGTATTCTCTGTATATTATCAAATGTATTTTAACTAATCTCTTAGTACAGAAATTATAAAAGGATTTCATTATGTACTTTCAGGCCACAGAATAAAAATTTCTCTTTGAAAAGCAAGCTATTATCTCCTTCTCATTATACTTCAACCATTTATTTAAAGTTGGTGGAATTCATAATTAAATAGAAATTGGAAATCTTTGGCACAGATGGGCTAAATAACTTGCTCACAAATCACAAAGAAAACACACTGACTTCAGGCTGTCATCCTTCTCTAGTGTTAATTTCACAGTATCAAAATGATTTGTCCAAATAATTATTTTCTATCTTTATGTTAAACATTATGCCAATGAGTTCATTTGGTACTAGTGAAATTATTTATCTCTAAAAATGTTCAGATATTACATAATATTCTGAGTCTGTGGTTAATCCATTGCTTGCTAGTCAGGGAGCTAAGCATGGAGACAAGAAAGAACCAGTAGACATGCTATATTTAGACATTTAAAAATATATTTTCTAGTACCCACTAAAAAGGCTATCTTAAAATAAGTTAAAATGAATTAAGGTTTAGGTAATTTTTCTGTATGGGATATTTATGGGTATAGAATTGCTGGAGAGATTAACTTTTTTTTGGCCTTTATATAAATGTCTCAGGAAACTGATTTTTTTTATATTTGCTTAATATATCTTTTTTCCATCGCTTTAGCTTTAGATTTCTATGGCACTTTGAGTGTGTTTCTTATCTAAACATATATATTTATAATGTATCATTATACATACATAATGATATATATCATATATTCATTTTAACCAGTCATTTTTGTCTATGTATACCAATATGATAATTGATATGTTTAGGTATATTTGTTGAAATATTCCTGACCTTGTTAATACTAGCTGTACTATCTGAGTCAACCTATTATACATTTTTAGTCTTTCCTACCTAACCCTGCAAAGCATTCTTTCTCCCTCTCTTGGCTACGTATTCTTAGCCTTTTCAGGAATCCACGATAGGAAACATTAGATGTTGGTATTGAATTGGTGGAAAGACCGTGAACTTTGCAGTCCAGTCAACCTGAATTGGCCTCAGTTTCTCATTTTACTAACAGTAATCTTGAAACTTGATGAACTTACTTGTAAAATAGGGATAATGTCCACCTTATAGGATTAGGTTTATATTAAATTACAAAATACATAAATGTGTCATGTACAGGAAGCATTAAAAAAGATTAGATTCCTACTCCCACAAGTTATAGCTTATTAAAACTTTCAGACTTTCTTGTTGGTTTTATATTAACCGGTTTTTAACAAATGGGGTAATTCTATATTTTAATGACTATTTTGACCTTAAAAGAAGATATTTAGGCTCTTAAATGTAAAACATTAAAAATAGTTAATTCCTTTGAGGACAAATTGCTAATATACAATCTTTATTTTTCACAGCAGGGAAGAGAGTGGAATCCTATAATAAACATAGTTTGGTCATGTGTTTTACATATTTCTTATGCCTTTTGTATGTATGTGTGTGTATTTATTACACAAATAACAGGTATTACTTGGAATATAGGGTAGGCTTTGCAAAGAAATAAAAGTATAAAATGACATACTAACCAATCTTTAAGTAATAATTACAGTTTTTATTATATATCATTCTGTATTTTTCCTCACACATGTAGATGTCCAAATAAAGCAGGTAACAATAGCAGCAGCTAACATTTACTGAGCATGTCCATGTCTCAGACACTGTTAAGTACACTACATAGATTTTATCACATAATCCTAATAACAACTCTCTGAAGTAGATAACATGCCCTCATTCTGTAGATGTCTAGACTAAGGTTTAGAGAGGTTCTACTCAGTGAACTAACTTGCCATTATTTCATAACCATAAGTGATGGAAAATAACCAAACCCAGGCAGTCTGACTCTACAAACCCACACTCTTACATTCTACCCTAAATGTCCTCCCCCAATAAATATTTTATGATACATATATTTTCTTACCTATTTTTCCACTAGTTAATAAGAAATGGATATCTTATCATCGTAATTTTTAAAAATTGCTACATAATATTTCTCTATATAGAAATAAGTTGCCAAAGTGATTCCCTATTATTGGAAATTTAAGTTGTTATCGTTTTTCCATAGCTATAAAATATATAGTACTTTCCATTTTTCCATTATTTGTCTAGTTATGATTTTAATATGCCCTTTATATTAACAAAACAGCTGATAAATATTTTACCACTTTACACAACAATGTATTCACCTGTTTCCCTAACTCATTGCCAACAGTGTTTTACCTTATTTTATAATTTTTCAAGTGTTCTCTCAAGACATCATTTTGCATTTCTTTGATTACCTGTGAAGTTGTGTTTCTATACTTTTTTCCCTTGGGAATTGTTTGCTCATATGCCTTGACTGTTTTTCTGTTGGAGAATTTTTAAGTTTCTAAGGAGAAGACAAATTACTAATTTAAGTCCATATCACTATTCCAATAACTTTTTTATTGAGGCCCTACTAATTTACAGGCAATGGTCAAGGACCTTGGGATACATCTATAAACAAAGCAAACAAAAATTCTCTGTCCTTGTGACGTTTATATTCTAGTGGTAGTAGGTAGACAATAAGTAAATTAACGTAATAAATACATAAAATATAGCATGCTATAATGTGGCAAATGGTAAGGAAAAGGTAAAAAGCATACCAGTATAAGGGAGACTGTGTAGGCTAAGGAACCAGGGAGAATTTCAATTTTAAATATGTGGTCATCACTGAAGAGTAAATATTTGAGCAAAGACTTAAAATGATTTTGTGTAATAAAAACAAGGAAGGGGTAGGTAACAAGTAATGCGTTTAATAAATATTATAGAGACTTTTTTGTAACTTGTAGGAATTTCCATCTATAAAGTATGATCCATGCAATTTCCCCATTATGAAATTCAAGTATACAACACTATTCTTAGGGGCACTTAATTGAAATGAAAAGAAGGAGTATACTCAGCATGTTGAATAAAAATAATACTGTCTTTGTTTAAATTTTTTTTTACTGTATTTCCAAGGTTCAATGAAGGAATAATTATTGTTTTGCTGTGCAGCATCTCTTATGAAACAGCAGTATGAGAAAGGAACTGTAAATGTTTTAAATTGTTGTTCCTATACTACTTTGCCATCTACCATGTCTGTAATTCTCAAATCCATAAAAATAAATTATTGTTCAAAATATTTGTAAATAAACCATAAAACTATCTATTAACTTTACCATGTGCTGTGAAACATATTCAAGTATTTTTTTCTGTTTGTTTATAGTTTTTAAACATGTAATTCTAAATGCCACATTCTGTGGATTAAAGTTTTACATTTCTATTATGTTATTAACTCACGAATATCTTTTAAACTTAGAAGTCCAATCTAAAGTTGATCTCATTTAAAATGGTATAGAGTAAATTATTTTTAAAGCTGTGGCTCTTTTCTATCAAAAGTTGCTGGTGCTGTTATTGTCTTAAACCCTTTGGAAGGGGGGACCTTGTTAATTGTATTAACTGAAAGCCATAAAATGCATTGCGTACAGTTAAAATCAAGTGTCATGTTTGCCAAGGCAAATAGAGCTTTAAAAGTGTACCTATTCATAAGGAAACAAACAAAAATTCATACTTTTGACTTTGCTCCTATATTTTACTGTAATGGCTGTAATTAGAACATTGCTCCAAATTACAAATGAAGGCATTTGCTGTATATTTTTTCCTTAATTTCAAAGTTGATTCCATATTATTTTATTTAAATAGATAATTTGGCTAGGTAATTTGAAAGTTGTATTCCTTTACTAAAACATGCAAAATATTTAACTCAGCTTCCCCTAACCCAGCTTTTTAAGGCATAATTAACAAATAAAAAGTATGTATATTTAAGGTGTACAACCTGATGTTTTCATATACCTACCTGTACACTGTGAAATGACTGCTGCAGCCAAGCAGATAAACATATTCATCACTTCATATAGTTACTTTTCTTCCTTGCTTGCTTGTTTGTACTTTTTTGTCCCCCTGGTGGTGAGGGTACTTAAGATTTACTCTCTTAGAAAACTCAAGTATACAATACATTGCAATTAACTATACTCACCATGCTGTACTTTAGATCTCCAAAACTTATTCATTCTGCATAACTAAAACGTTTTACCCTTTGACCAACCTCTCCCCATCTTTTTCAACTTCCAGCCCCTGGCAGCCACTACTCTGCTCTCTGTTTCTGTGAGTTCGACTTCTTTAGATTCCACATATAATTGAGAGTATGCAGTATTTTTCATCCTGTTTCTGTCTTATTACACTTAGCATAATGTCTTTTAGGTTTATCCATGTTGTCACAAATGACACGATTCTCTTCATTTTTAAGGCTGAATGATATTCCATTGTATATAATGGGAGTACAGATATTTCTTTGACATATTAATTTTATTTCTTTTTAATATATACCCAAAAGCTGCATTGCTGGATCATATGGTAGTTCTTTTCTAAATTTTTTGAGAAACACTTATACTGTTTTCTCTGTCTGTACTAATTTACATTCCCTCCTACAATGTATCTTCCTACCCTTTCCAACACTTATTATATGACTTTTTGATAATAATCACTCTTAACAGGTGTAAGGTGATATATCATTGTGTTTTTGATTCGCGTTTTCCTGATGATTAGTGATGTTGAGCACCTTTCCATATACCTAATATTTACTTGTATGACTTATAATAAAAAAAACTATCCATGTCCTTTGCCCATTTTAAAATTAGGTTATGTGTTTTGTGCTATTGAGTTGTATTAGAGTTCCTTATTTTTTTTGGATATTAGCACTTTATCAGATATATGTTTTTCAAATATTTTCTCTCATTCTGTAGGTTTTCTTTTTATTTTATTGTTTCCTTTGCTATGGAAAATACATCTTAGTTTGATGTAGTCAACTTGTTTACTTTGCTTTTGTTTTTTAGTGTTATGTTTTTTAGTGTTATATCTAAAAAATCATTGCCAAAACCAATGTCAAGGAACTTTTATCTGTTTTCTTGCAGGATTTTTATGGTTTTTATGGTTTCACACTTTATGTTTAAGTCTTTAATCCATCTTGAGTTGCTTTTTTGTATATGGTGTAAGACACATGTGTAAGCGTCCAATTTCATTATTTTTCATGTGGATATCCAGTTTCCCCAACACCACCTGTTGAAGAGATTATTCTTTTCTGTTGTATATTCTTGGAGTCTTTGTTGAAGATTAGTTGACTGTAAATGCTTGGGCTTATTTTTCTGCTCTGTTCTATTTCATTGTTCTATGTGTCTGTTTCTGTGCCAGTACCAGACTGTTTTGACTATCACAGCTTTGCAATATAATTTGAAATCAAGAAGTATGATACCTATACCTTTGTTGATTCTCAAGATTGCCTTGGCTGTTTGGGATCTTTTGTGGTTCCGTACAAATGTTAGGATTTTTGTTCCATTTCTGTGGAAAATGTCACTGGAATTTTGATAGACGTTTCATTTTGCTTTTCATCATTGAGAATGTGGTTAGGTGCGAGCTTCTCATGTATGACTTCGTAGAAATTATGAGCATACAAATAAGAGGAAAGAAGATTGAATCAGCAATAAACAATTTCCCAACAAAGAAAAGCCCAATACCAGATAACTTCATGGGTGAAGTCTACCAAACTTTTTTTTTTTTAGTTAATACAAATCCTTCTCAAACTCTTCCAAAAAAGTTAAAAAGGAGGGAACACTTCCAAACTCATTTTGTAAGGCAAGAATTACCCCGATATGAAAGCCAGACAAGGATGTTACAAGAAAAGAAAACTCAGGCCAATATTCCTGGTGAACATAGATGCAAAAATCCTCAACAAAATGTTAGCATCCCAAATTCAACAGCATATTAAAAGGATCAAGCAGCATACTTAAGGGGGATTTATCCTTAGGATGCAAAGATGGTGCAACATATGCAAATCAATAAGTGTGAAACACCACATTAATAGAGGAAGGATAAAATCCTATCATCTCAACGGATGTAGAAAAAGCATTTAATAAAATTCAACATTCTTTCATGGTAAAACCTCTTAACTCTGCTTTTAACCATTGACATAGTCATCCATATTTCCATATTTTTATGTGTTTCCATCCCATCTAAGCCATTTAGCAATGATTCTACTATAAACACACACAAATACACACAGAAGCACACCTACCCCCAACATAAAAATGATCAAAGCTAACATTAAATATTTGTTGAGTATGCATTTATAAGAAATCTTGACTATAAACACAGGGAATATTTTATTCTTAGTCTTTTCTCAAAATTCTAGTTTATTTTATAAAAACTTTATTTGTTAAAATATTAGTATATAATATTACATATAAACGTATGCATAAAATAATATATATTTGAGATTTCTTATCGTATATTTTAAAATTTTATAATGAAATTATTTGTATTTTGTGATGGGTAATCTATGTATATGTTAATGGGAGATAAAATATAAAATATAGGTAAGAAAAAAATTGAAAACCACCTGTAGAAATCCAATTGTAGTTTAACACTTAAAATGTGAAGATATGATCTTTCAGATATATTTCCATTAAGGTATATGGCAAGGAAAAATAAATCTAAAATGACAAATTTAAAATATCAAATGAAAAAACATTTGCAGTACATAAGACAAAATATTTTTATAATATAAATAGGGAAAATATATTATGTTAATATTGTTATTTTTAATCTCTTGCTTACCATTAGACCTCAGAACACTGAACAGTACCTGGCACATACATATTATTTGCATAGTAAATATTTACGAGTAAATGAATGAATGAATGGCTGCTTCTTAATCAGTTATTTTCGCTTTTTGTGGAGTCTTTCCATATCAATAAAGGCAAATTTGTATCACCATTTAAATGACACTACAGTATAACATTATCTTGTCGAACTATAATTTGTTTAATCTATTTTCTATTGTTGCATTTTAATGCTTTAACAATTCTGAGTATTTTAAAAGATGTTGGAGTGGTTAATAATAAAGAATTTTGTAAATTCTTTAGAATTCTCATTTAAAAATTGAAATTATTTGTATTAAAGCCAAATTAAAATAAATTGAAGTATGATTTTAGAGTATGTAAAAATTGCATTGTCAACTACAGAATATACATTGTGTGGGGAATAAAAGAATAAATGTGAAAGACAAACAATAACACACTATAAGGAATGATCAGTAAAATTTAGATGCAAAAGAAACTTCAAGAAATGGAAGATAAAATTATTACATTGAAAACATTAATGGGTTAAAGACATAAATAGTTATAGCCTAAGAGATAATTAATGAATAGGAAGCCGTATGATAAACAGTATTTAACAGAGAGAGAAGGATGGAAAATATAAATGAGAAGTTAGGAATATAGATAATAGAATGAGAAAAAGATCTAGTATATGTCCAATTAGAGATCCAGAAAGGAGTACTAGAAAGAAAGGAGAAAGGCAGCATTTGAAGATAAAATAGCTGAAAACTAGGAGGAGAAGTGGAGTCACAGAACCTGGAGGAACTAAGTATCCCAAGAAAGAGAATTAAAAAGAAATCTATAGCTAGACTCATCATAGTGATACCAAAGAAGCCTGATAGGACCTGGGCATAGAGTCCCTGTGGTAGAATATTATAGTAACATGCTCCCATGAGTCACACCTCTCAGAATCCCAAACCTTTATGTAGTCACTTAGTCCTGTGACATACTTTTGTGAATTGAACATCAACAAACAGCGCAAGCAGAGGCTGAGTAAGTGTGTGCATCGGAGCCTGTCCCTTTGGAATTATTCCCTGAAACTGCCATGAGATGCCAGAATGAAAGTGCAGTGAAAAGATGGATCCAGCTATAAATCAGCACCATGAGGCAGACATGCACATGAGGCCATTTTGTTCTGCCCAGCCCAGTCCACTCACCAGCTGAGTATAGCTTCATGAGAAACCCCAGCTAACCTACAGGGTCATGGGAAATACAAATGGTTTTGTTCTCAGCCGCTAAGTTTGAAAGTCAGGAATAAGTATCTGATTAAGTCACCAAGGTTTTCTTTCTTACTTCCTTTGTGTGTGTGTGTGTGTGTGTGTGTTTGTATGTGTGTTAGAGTGAACAAAGCTCTTCAGCACAGCCTTGATTTTTTTTTCATTAGACATACCTGCTAATGTATTCAGTTATGTAACATGGAATGTGAATTAGTCATGAAGATTTTTCTGTTTATGCAAGAAATTATTTTTTCACTCTAACATACATTCAGTATCCTTCAGATAATTGGCATTACTTCTTATCCATCGCAGGAATATGTAGGGTTTTGGCTGTTTCTCTTTCTGTACCCGTACGTCTTGAATCTTTTTACCTGCCATTCCACTGACATACCATAGGACCGTGGTTTCCAGACTTTTAAAATTCACAAAACATTAAAATTGAGAGGAAATAATGTGTCTGCAGTAAGTTTGTCAAATTTTTATTTTATTTGATGTTATAGAACAAACAAGTATCAAAACCCTACTAAATACATTATTATTTTGAAAAGATACAGATATTTTTAGCAGCAAAAATGTTGGAAGAACAAAATCTCAAAAGAAAGTAGTACACTTTAATTTAAAAATGTTTGGCTTCATGAAAAACTCACTAATTTCTTTCTCATTATGCTAGATACTGGTAAAAAAAATGAATTGACAGTAACCTATATATTGAATACATTATTACTATTATTGTTTTGAACAAATTTATCAGTTAAATTAATTAAGAATAAAAACACTTTTTATTTTACTTCACTTATTCCTTTTTGATACTCTTACTTACTTTATGTAGATCCAAGTTAATACCTATTAGTTTCCTTTTGTCTAAAGCTGAGGTCGTCAACCCCTGGGTAACAGACTGGCCTGTTAGGAACTTGGCCACACAGCAGGACATGAGCAGCAGACCAGTGAGCAAGTGGCATTAGACTCTCAAAGGAGTGTGAACCCTACTGTGAACTGTGCATGCCAGGGATCCAGGTTGCACACTGCTTATGAAAATCTAATGCCTGATGATCTAAGGTGGAACAGTTTCATCCTGAAACCATCCCCCACATCCCGCACATCCATGGAAAAAATTGTCTTGCATGAAACTGGTCCCTGGTGCCAAAAAGTTAGGGGACATCTGGTCTAAAGGACTTCTTTTAACATTTCTTACAAGGCAGGTCTACTGGCAACAAATTTCCTCAATTTTTACTTGATAAGTTCTTTATTTCTCCTTTACTTTGTAGAGATAGTTTCAGAGTATAGAATTCTATACTCTGGTTTATTTTCTCTCTCTCTCTCTCTCTCTCTCTCTCTCTCTCTCTCAACACTTTGAATATTTTACTCTACTCTTTTCCTGCTTCCATGGTTTCTGAGGAAATGTGAGATGTAATTATTATCTTCATTCCTCTGTAAGTAAGGTGTTTCCCTGACACACCACACTGGCTTTTTTCAGGATATTTTTCTGTATCTTTGATCCTCTGTGGTTTGAATATGATATACCTAGTTAATGATTTTGTTGGTGTGGTTTTTTTTTTGTTTGTTTTTTGTTTTTTGGCATTTATTCTGCTTGGTGTTCTCAGAGTTTCCTGGATCTGTGGTTCAGTGTCTGACATTAATTTGGAGGAATTCTCAGCCATTATTGTTTTAAACATTTCTTCTGTTTCTTTCTCTCTTCTTTTCTTTGTATTTCCATTATATATATTATATATAATATTATATATTATATTTTATATAATATTATATATTATATTTTATATTTAATATTATATATTATATTTTATATATAATATTATATATTATATTTTATATATAATATTATATATTATATTTTATATATAATATTATATATTATATTTTATATTTAATATTATATATTATATTTTATATTTAATATTATATATTATTTTATATATAATATATTTTATATTTTATATATAATATTATATTTTATATTTTAATATAATATTATATTTTATATTTTATATATAATATTATATTTTATATTTTAATATAATATTATATTTTATATTTTAATATAATATTATATTTTATATTTTAATATAATATTATATTTTATATTTTAATATAATATTATATATATTATATTTTATAATAATGGATATATATTATATATTTTATATAATGGAATAATATATAATAAAATATATAATATATTATATAATGGAATAGTATATATTATATAATGGAATAATATGTAATATATAATGGAAAAAGTATATATATTAAATATATATGGATATATTTATTACATATCCATATATATTTAATATATAATATTATATATCCATATATATTTAATATGTAATATTTATTATATATCCATATATATTTTATATAATATATATATCCATATATCTTTAATAGGTATCCCACAATTCTGGAATATTCTATTCTGTTGTTTTTTTTTTTCAGTCTTCATTCTCTGCTTTTTGGTTTTGGAGTTTCTATTGATATATTCTTGATATTTAATCTCAGAGATTCTTTAATTTGCCCACTATCCCATATACTAATAAGCCTATCAAAGGCATCTTTCATTTCTGTTACAGTGTTTTTTTTATCCCTAACATTAATTTTTTATTTTTTCTTAATATTTTCATTTATCTGCTCAAACCGTCCATCTGTTCTTACATGTTATATACTTCATCTATTAGAACAATTATCATATTAATTATACTTGTTTTAAATCTCCAGTCTGATCATTGCAACATTCTGCCATGCCTGGTTCTTGTGCTTGCTCTGTCTTTTCAAACTGTTGTTTTTGTTTTTGTTTTTGTTTTGTCTTTGAGTATTCCTTGTAATTTTTACTTGATAGCTGGATATGATGTATTGGGTAAAAGAAAGTGCTGTAAATAGGCCTTTAGTAATGTGGTGGTAAGGTGTGGGGCAGAGAAAGCATTCTCTAATCCTCTGATTAGGTCAAAGTCTTTAGTGAACATGTGCCTCTGGACTGTAAATTTCATGTTTCTCAGTCCACATTCTCTCCTTTATATGGGACAGGATATCTAGAGAGGCCTGGAGTTAGGTATTTTCTTTTCCCATGTGGAAGTCTAGAGCTGGCTGGAGTTGGCTATTTCCTTTCCCCCTAGTCAGTTAGACTGTAGTGAAACCCCAGCAGTTCAAGCACTGGATTAATAGTTGTTGTTGTTGTTGTTGTTGTTGTTGTTGTTGTTGTTGTTGTTTTTAAAGGACAGACCTTGTTGAGAGAAACAGAGTACACTGGCATATTTCAGCCTGGCACCTTTTCCTTTCCCCCTGCCTGAAGCATGAGAGGGTTTTTCCCCAAATATTTACTGTGAAAACCTAGTAGGTTTCTTGCTGATAAAACAAATAAAAGCATAACTCCCATTAGTGACTTGTTCTTCCTGGATTCAAACTCTCAGGCTTGTCCACACCAAGACTCCAGCAATTTGTCAATTAAAGTTCAGGTTTTCCAGCCCCAGTACTGGTTTCCGTAGAAGGTTTTGCTTCTGAGTTTCTGCACTGGTAAGTTGTGCTTCTCTGTATCTACCTGTCTCTCCAATTTTGAGAGTATTTGTGTGACCTGTGACTTCACTTCTCTTACAGATCTAAGAAGAGTTGTTGGTTTTTCAGTTTGTTCAGCTTTTTGGTTATTGTTAGAATGAAGTAGTGACTTCCACGCTCCTTACATGGAGATGAACAAAAAACCAGAAGCCAGTATCTTTAAATGACATTGTGCTTTAACTTTTCAGTATAAATTTCTTTTGGATGTAACAGAAATAGAAAAATATACATGAATCCAACACTCTGTGTGTATTTGGCATTTAAATAGCAGAATAGAATAAATTTAAATTGATTCTTCTTTCACTAATGACAGTACCCTGCCAGGTTCTTAACTCATTCTTCCAGAATTGAGGAGAAATCTCATCTATGTGACTGATACGAGGGTGAGGCATCTGGCTGACCTATAAGTGATCTTTATAAACTTGTCTTTGGGACATGTGTTTATACCATGAAAATTTTTGTTTATGCAACTCTGCTTGCTTATAAGTAATTTATAGATTATAGGGAGATCTCTTTTCAGATTTGTAGTTGTTGTTACTAATCAGTTACTATAGCTTGTTGAAAAACTTATTTAAGATTTGACAGATGGCAAACATAACAAGAAAGACAAAAGTAATTTTTTTCCATTTTTTTCTGTAAACATAGCAGAAAGATTATAATGGTAACAGCTATATCTGTACTAGGAGTAAAATAATATAAGCAGGTGAACTACCAGCTAATAGCTTTAGGTTTAGTCTGGAATGGCTCCAACATTATTTGATCGTGTGCTTTTCTGAGATAGCCTATAATCACTTTTCCTCTTTAAGAGACTGTTGATATCCTATTTAATGGTACCATGGCAGGGATCAGCTGGTGTACTCTTATTCCCTGATCTAGTCTTCAGGGATAAGAGTCTGTTCATTGAAGTCCTAGGTGTTATTATCCATTGAAGTGTAGTGATGACCCAAACGTGTTTGATCTACGACTCCAACTTTTATTCTCAAGTCTAGTATTTCCTGCTTAAATCCTTTGATTTAAAATTAATTCTAGGTTCTACCTTGGACATAAATGGCAAAAGTGGAGGACTGTTCTTTTTAAACAGTACCGTTGAAAGTTTAAAACTTGCTTATAAATTTTTCACAGAGGCTTTAGAATTTTTAGGTCCACTAAACACCAGATAAAACACAACTTATTTATTAAAATGTTTTCAGCTAGATGCTTAGATATAGAAATTGTGTGTACATGGCCACACATGTGTCCTTCTTTGAAAGTGGTTAAGAGTCCAAGGGAGACTTACACAAAGAGAAAGTCACTATAGTATCTTTTGGAAGTATTAAAAAACCTGTTGTTTGAAGGATGGGTTGAATTTGGCTATGTACGAAAGGAAAGGAAGGACTTCTGGGCAAAGAAACCATGTGAAAATCAAGCCACAAAAGAGATTGTGTATTGAATGTGTATGGCAGGGCTTACAAATGGGCTATTTTATTCATAAGGAAGGAGGAGCAATATAGGAGTTTGCCATACACAGATTTACATTTTATCAAGATTGTTTGGACGGCAGTGTAGAGCTAACAAGATTATTGCCAAGCATCAAGGATTTGGATAGAAAGCCTAGTGCTGACACGGTAACCTAACACTTATGGGTTCAGTACTTCTATATTCATTAAGTACCTTTAGACTTTAATTAAGTCCTAATATTTGGACTTTCAAGCTCCCAATAAAATATCTTTAATTTTTAAAATAAATGTTTTCCTCTTATAAAAAAACCATTAATGCCAATTATAGAAAATTTAGAAAATACCCAAGAGTACTGAAAATAAAATTGAAACAATAACCTTACCATTTATAATTAGCTACTATTAATATTTTGGTAAATCTTATTTTAGTATTTTGCATAATTTTTAGCAAAATCAGATCATATTTATATTCCTGTTTTATTTTTGACATTCATTTCTTAAAATATTTTACACAATTTTAATGACATGCATATTTTCTAAAACAATATATAGTATTTGTATTATAAAAGCTATAACATGTAACTTATAAAAAATAGAACCTATTCTAAAGCAAAAAGGATGAGAATTATCCAGTACCTCTCCCCTTAAATATAATGATAAACATATATTTTATTTTCATTCTCCTTTATTGGATTCTTCCAATAGACATTTGTACGTACTAAACATACTTATATGTCAAACAAAACATTAAGAAACCCTCATGTAATGTTTACTATATACCGTGCATGGATCTAAGTACTTTATATATGTCAATACAATTTTTTCACAAAACTGAATGAGATAAGTACTATTATCATTACCAGTTTTAATATGAAGAAAGTGAGACACAGAAAAAAATGGGTAACTTAGTGAAGACCACACAATTAGGAAGTAGCAGCCTTGGGTCCAATCAAAGACCATCTGCTTTCAGATTTTGTGACCTTGAAAAGTGTCACAAATATATTGCTTTTCCTTTGATATCATGTCCACATCAAGTAGTTGCAATATTTCCACCCACCCCTTCACGCTAGATTTCTCAGAAGAGCTACTTGTGTTTTATGATTGCATTTTCTCATATTCCAGCCACTTCATGACAAACCACAATCCAGCACTTTCTTACACCAATTTATCAAAACCATTGGTTCTTGCTAAAGTGTAATGAATTTCAATCCAGCGGACACCCTGGCTTCCAATTTATTTGCGCTGTTAACCAACCCTGGCAAAAGCCTATTCCTCTTTTACTCTCTTCTCTTGGTTTCTATGGTGCAGCTCTCTTTCCTGTGTTCCACCTCTGGCTTTGCCTACCCCTCAGCATCCAGTACTGGACCATTATCTTCAACCTAGATTCTAAAGGCTATATAGCTTCAGTCATAGACCTTCATGTCTCCTCACTGTACATCTTTTCCCAAAGAGTTCATCCATTTCCATGGCTTAACACATCATGTATTCAATGTAACTCCCAAATATGCATCTCTGTATCATATCTCTTTTCTGAGCTTCAGACCCATATATTCAATTACCTCAGCATCATCACTTCATAGCCTAAACATTGCCTTTACAATATTGGAGGTCAAAATATTTTGTCCTCCATATTCTTGCTATCTTAGTAAATAACACAGTAATCCACCCAGAAATCCAAGCCAGTAATTACAGAATAATCTTTACATTTCCTTTTTTCTCACTATCCACATTCAGTCCAACGTTAAATTCTATCGGTTTTGTACTTTCTTTCTCAAATTACTTTCTTATTCTCATCGTTTTTTCCCCACTACCTTCAGTTTCTCACCTGATCTATAGCACTTTGGTTTCTCACTCCAATCCATTTTTCACCTCAAGTGATATTTTGAAAATGGTTATCTGTGAGGGGTTGGATAATCCCATTTCCCATGATGTGATTATTATGCATTGCATGCCTGTATCAACACATCTCATATACCCCATAAATATATATATATACCTACTATGAACCCCCAAAATAAAAATATATATAAAAAATAAAATAATTATCTGATCAAGTCATTTATTCGTCAAAAACTGTTTGATGGTCTCTTAACTGCTTTAGTAGTATGTTTAAAATTCTTCATGTAGCTTACAAGGCCCTTTGCCCAAGAGCCTCAGCCTCACAGTTTAGCCACCTTACCCTTTTCGTTACTTAATTCTTAGCTCTTACGTCACTTCCTTTGGAAGACTTTCCTTTCCTGAATATCTAAGTTGCACCTCCCTTTCCATAACACAGAGGACTTATTTTTCCTAATATTATCCATAATTTTAATTAATTACTGATGTTGTCATTATCTGTTTACCATTATCTCACTTAAATTGTATCTGTTTGTTCACTGTTGTATTGCCTAGCACATTAATCAATATAGTTATTGAATGATTAATATTTTCAAATATGTTTGCTGTATTTTGAGACTTTTTATATTTGTGTTATATCTTGTATTGAGTCTAAAATTATGGCTTCATGTAGTAAGACAAAACTTCCTTTCATTCAAAAATGTCAACATTTATTTCGATATTTTAAATGCCCTAATTTCAACCTTTGTCTCCCAATATTGCATCAACTACCTTTCCCAATTATTTATCTCCTTTATTTCTTCCTGATAGTTTTCTCTTATTATGACAAGGCCTAGTTTATTGTCATTCTTAAATAGTGTTAGAAGTCTCATTTTAGTTTGCTGAGAATGATGGCTTCCAGCTTTATCCTTGTCCTTGAATGAGTGAAAAGATGAGTGAATGAATGGATACATGAATACATATCATTCATTTATTCAAAAATACTTCTGAATACAGGAATATCTTACAGCTTTGCTGGTTTAGTTCCACACCAACACAATAAAGCGAATATTGCAAAACAGTGAGTCACATGAATTTTTTTGTTTTCCTAATGCATATAAAAGTTATGTTTACACTATACTGTAGTCTATTAAGTGTGCAATCACATTTTGATGACTAAAAAAAATATACATGCCTTAATTTAAAAAGACGTTATTGCTAAAAAAAAAGTCTCATTTGCTGCTTGTTAATTATTTCCACTATTTTTCCTACCGTGAAAGAGAAAGTTAGAATGATTAAATAATATATACAGATTAAACTACTAATAAGTGGCAGAACCAAAATTCAAATTCAGGGCTTTTTTTAAAAAAATGCCAAAGCCTTACTCTATTCCATATCTGCTCCTGATTATGAAACAAAACATGTCAGCTTAGTTCCTTGTGTTGCAGATTCATAGCAATGAAGATCCTGTAATTAAAAATATCTTTGTAGACAAGGCCAGATCTTTCACTTTTTTATATTCTATAGAAATATATTGCATTTATTATATCTCTATATAAATTTTGTTTTTGAGTAAGACATATGAAAAAATTTAGCCAATATAAGAAATTTTATAATGAGATATTAAGTTGCATTGAATATATAGAATTATAAAGGTACAATCTAGAGGAAGGGGGAAAAACTACATATTTTCAATAATATGTGGTTAGAGTTTCAGCTTGGGAGGGAAGATCAAATACAATGTTTAGTGACTCTAAACATGTGGCTCTGACTGTGCCATGTATGTATAGAGACAATACTGAGCACATATTGATTACCAAATGTGTTAACTTTAGATATATTTAATCATTTAAGTGGCCCTCAAACACATTTAATATGGATGCATTGATTACCAGATGATTCTTGTGCTATTTCAGAAAACATCTGAAATTACTTTAAAACAATTCCTTGGTGAATGAATGTACTTTAAAAGAGTAGCAGTAATATGAATGTCAGTAATCTGTGGGAATTCACAAAAAGTAAGGCATCATTTTTTTTTCTTTTACTTTAACTTCTGGGATACATGTACAGGATGTGCAGGTTTGTTACATAGGTAGACGTGTGCCATGGTGGTTTGCTGCACCTATGAACCCGTCATCTAGGTTTTAAGCCCCGCATGCATTAGATATTTGTCCTAATGCTCTCCTTCCCTTTATCCCACACCCCCCGACAGGCCCTGGTGTGTGATGTTCTCTGCATGTTCTCACTCATAAGTAGGAGTTGAACTATGAGGCATCAATTTTTATTGAAGTCTTATAAGGTACCCAGGCTTGTCTGTCTAGTATGACAACTTTAAAATCCAGGATAGATAGGATGTTCCATTATTACAACACACTATAATAAACCATTTGAACAACTTTTGGTCATCATTTCATCTTAAATAATGACTGTTTTGTTTGATATTAACTGTGGAGAGCAGCAGGCACAGAGAGGGTACTCATTTGTCTTCTTTCCCCTCCAGAGATGAGTCTTTATGATCTTTGAGGTAGACAAGGAGGATGAACCTACATCTTTCTTTGTAGTAGTCTGTGGAACAAAGGCCAGAGATACTAGGACACATAGTTCCAATGGTGTGGGACCAAGGTAATCAATCAGTTTACCATTGTTAGTCACTCAGGCAAATGGAAACAACAAGAAATTTCTTTTTAGTAATAATTATCATTCTGTTTTTGAAAAGGTGTTCATTGCAATTATTGTATTGAGATGAAGATGCAAAATCTTTCTTAAAATATGTTTTTTTGACATAGGCAAAAGAAGATGTCTGAGTCCCTGAAACTCACAGTGGTATGTCTCTTGAGCCACTAATAGATTGTCATGTAATATGCAGTTTTCAAAAGTTTACAGGATAATGCCATAAAATAGTTTAAAGTACCTATAGGAATATATAAGAAGCCTGACATAATTGCCCTATGAAACTAATTTAAGCAGGTGTTGGTACTGAGAATATTTTATATTTGCATTATGAAGTATTGCCCCTGGGAAGGGAGGCTAGTTGTTCCATAGCAACATGATTATGGTGCCACACAGTTTATTGATAATCTGTTTTCAAAATGAGCAGTATCTCCTTTGAATATGGCCAAAATATACTACAAAAGTTTAATTAAAATCACTTTATGATCCCACAGTGTTTAGAATTTACATATACTTCCCATTCTAGTGAATATCTTTGAAAACTCTTTAAAAAGTTGCAATACAAAGTTTATTTAAATATATTGTTATCTCAGCATTAAGGTAGTTATGAGCAAAGACTTTCATTTATAGGGTTCATGATAGTAAAAAGGAATAGTGGCCCCCAGATGTGAATAAATTGCCAGTCAGTAAGTATTCATGGTATTAAATTTTAAATGACCACTTATAACATCAATGTTTCATGACTTTATTTATTTATTTATTTATTTAGAGACGGAGTCTCCCTCTGTCACCTAGGCTGGAGTGCAGTGGCGCAACAAGATACTAATGTTGTATGATAAACCTATATAAAATCTACATAAAAGGCATATCATTTCAATGATGTGGTAACAACACAGATAGATAGATAGATAGACAGATAGATACTATAAATAGACACATAAAGATGCAGAGATACACAGTTAGCTGGGCAAAAAGGCCACAGCTAATTGACATTTTATCCCCATTGGATAGAAAGAATTCTTAGAACATTATTGTTTATAGTTATTTTTATGAATAACATTCTTGTTCATCAACGTTTATTGAATAATTAAATAGAATAACAAATGACTACTTTTTACTGAACTTGAGTAAATATTACTTCTGGTCTATTAGCTCATTCTAAAATTAGTAAGTAAGAAATAAATGAATATCAATTTTGAACAAGAACTCATGCTTTTTGTTTGATAATTTGCTTTATTGTTATGGATATGTATGACATTGGGGGTGATCTTATTTGCCTATTTTATCATGATGTTTTTCTAATAATGTTTTCCCAGTTTATATGCTATATTAATTATATCAGTGCTTCATGATGTTTCTCAGAGAGCATAGTCACATTTAAGTATCTCTGGGGAGATAGCATATATAATCAATCATAACACCAACTATGCAAACAGCTCATACATTATTATACAAAATAAAGTTTTTGTTAAATACATGGTAGAGGACAAAAGTTTTTCTATTTGTAGTAGTTACGGATTTCTGTTAACAGTCTTGGATGTGCAAGTGACAAGTTCTACTTAATTATTTGTCTGTAACCAAACTCAAGTTCTATTTTGAGTCCCATTCATTATCTCAGTAAAAACTTAATCTGAACCAATTTAGAATCCTCCTAAGATAGGTCCCACTATATACAAGATCCAGTGGGTATATAAAAGGTGAGAGTACAGGGTAGTAATTAATTACCTGTCTGGTAATTAAATTGTGTCTATAAGATAAATATTGAAAAATCCATCTTGTCCTTGATCTTAGTCCACACATTTTAGTAAGCCATCCATTTTCCTGTTTCTATGGTTTAGTTAGTTTAGGAGGCCATAAAGGGGGCACAGAAATGTTTCTGTTGCTTTGATGTCATTCTTGGATATGTAAAACTCTGCTAGATCCTCAATAGTCTTGTATACCTACACAGTGAATTCATTGACTCTCTGGGTCTTGCCCTCAACTCCTACAACCTCTCTGGGGAGGGTATCTTCATGGCTACCTATTGAGGCATTTTCCTAGGAAGTCTAACTTAAAGTCCCCTTCCCCCTTAATTTCACTATTTTCCCACAAACTTCCTTCAGTCTCTCTCATTACTTGATCCTAGGAAATCTTTTTCTACTAAAGAGGAAATTCTTTACTCTTAAGTTTTAATATTTTCCAGTCTGAAGTACTCCCTATGTGATGCTGCAGGCAATCAAAACATAATCTCCTTAATGGTTTGAGGTTTGGGGAAAGAAGAATTTGAGAGACTACCAGATTCAAATCTTTGGACCATAGTATAACTCTTCCTCATGACACTCAACACGGAATAAACTGTCTGATAGAAATAAAGGGAAAGGAGAAGGGAAATTTCACAAGAGAAATGTATCAGTTGATATTTCAAAAATAGCATCTCACTGTCTACAGAGATTATATATCTGGTAACTTTATAAATGTTTTACCTAAAATAACTTCTGGTATTAGTAGATGTAAGATCATATTATGAGAATAAATACAGTTAATTTTTATTTATTTAAAATTACATGTGAAAAATAAATATCTCAATTAAAAATTATTTTTTCTTTTATTGAGAATGCCATATTTCATTTGAGTAAATTATATTCAAATGAACATATTCAAATATATTAATTTGAATCAATTATATACTTTTAAGGAATTAGAAGCAATTCATATGATTATTATAATTTTCAAGTTCTCTATTTTAAAATAGATTTTGATTATAACATTTTCTTTTCTGCCCCCAAAGAGTTAATAAAATGGTAGAACCTTTCTTAACTAGAAGTAATTTCTCAAGAAATTCAAGTGTTTTCTTTTTTAGTTTTAGTACTTCATTGGATTGCTTTTGCCCTAAATGATTTTGTCTTTTCTGTAAAGCAGAAAAAACAACTATTGCCTTTCACCAGATAGCAGTTAACAATAATCTCAAGTTTTACATTTTTTTCCTTTAGAAAGATCTACATGTGGTTTAGAAATTCTGCTCCTTGGCCAAGCGCAGTGGCTCATGCCTGTAATCCCACCACTTTGGGAGGCCGAGGAGGGCGAATCACCTGAGGTCAGGAGTTCGAGACCCAGCCTGACCCCATATCTACTAAAAATACAAAAAAAATAGCCAGGCATGGTGGTGCATGCCTGTAATCCCAGCTACTCAGGAGGCTGAGGCAGGAGAATCGCTTGAACCCGGGAGGCAGAGGTTGCGGTGAGCCGAGATCGCGCCACTGCACTCCAGCCTGGGCAACAAGAGCGAAACTCCGTCTCAAAGAAAAAAAATAAAATAAAAAAATAAAAAATAAAAAAAAATAAATTCTGCTCCTTGAGAAGTAAATGTTCTGAAAAGAAAACCCTGACTCAATCAAATAAGTGTTACAAATAGATTTGTGATGGCCCTAGAAACATAATTTAAGAGTTGTGATAGTGAAAACAGGAAATACCTTACATGTATCATAATTGAAGAATGGTTAAATATTTTCATGTTTTAATATAATATTACTATATTCAATGATAGCTCAAGATATTTTTAAAAATAATACTGATTGTACTCATGTTATAAGGTTAAATGGAAGCAGCAAAAACAATTATTTAGGTACTAAATGAACATATAATTCCCCTGGCATAGATGATTGATAGAGTGAATGAGTATTATATGGTCTCAACTCTATTAAAATATTTATAGAACAATAGATTGGAATAACATGTAATAAATTATAAGTTTATATCTGATTATTTTTTCTTCTTTCTTCCACTAAGTTTTCAATTATTATTTTCTATCTTTAAAATATCAGCTGGGTCCAGCCATGGGGTCTCATGCCTGTAAGCACCTTGGGAGGCCGAGGTGAAAGGATGGCTTGAGTCAGGAGTTTAAGAACAGTCTGGACAGTACAGTGAGCCCTCATCTCTACTAAAATTTTTTTTAAAAAAGAAAGAAAAATTAGCTGGTCATGATGGTACATGCCTGTAGTCCCATCTACTTCAGAAGCTGAGGTGGGAGGATCACTAGATTAAGAGACCAAAATAACCTAAATTTTATATAAACTATTTAATAGTATAGAAAAAAAGTATATAAATAGTATATCCATACTCATTCATTTTGTTTAGTTATAATAATCTAATCAGTTTAACTTAGGTGTTTGATAATATGCTGTCTCCATGTTTTTAAACACTGTTCACAGTGTTAGCTACCATTAGCATGTAAGATATGACTGATTTTACCTTCATTTTACTTATTTTTCCCCCTTTAACTCTTGTTCTGTGTTAACTAAGAACAATTCTATTTGTGAATGGGAAAGAACTAAGAACATGGGGAAAATAAGATACTTAATATTTTCTACTTTTAATTTCATATTTAAGCATTAACCTATACTGATTGTTGGTTGGAACTGATAAATTTACTTAATGCAAAACATATTTATGCAAAGTTCTTTGAATTAGGATTTTTTTCTGTGAAATTCTAGTATATTGTGAAGCTTTTTTTTAGATCAAGTTTTATCTGTATGTTTGGCTACATAACTTAGTACTATTTAAAATTGCACGTTAGGAGTCTACTGCTTGATGCCAAAGTATTACCAGATTAACCAGAGTTCTGTTCAGTAAGTGCAATTATATCTTCACATACTTATTCTTGGCATACAATAGACTTTATAATATAAAGCAAATAGATCAACCCTAAATTATTTGTTTATTTTTTTCTGCATGCACACAGTATTACCCCATTTATATCTGACATACTATTGACAATTGTTTTGGTAAACATTATGTATGCATTACTTTACTTAAGTCCCCCAGAACTCATGTGATAAGTCTGTTGTCTCCATTTTAGAAACTGAGAGGATTTTTTTCTAAAAATCAAGTAGCTAGAATCAATAAATATGAAGATTTTATTTTATGTCTTATCTATGCCACAGTATTAACTACTTTGTCATAATGTTATTTGTAAAATCCAGCCAAAATGTTGGTATCCTCAGATTTCCATCTGTGGAAATTGATAGTTTAAACAGGTACACAAATTACATGCATTATATGTTTCTACCATCTACCATGATTCATTTAGGTGTAAAATATGGTTAATCTGACGAAATGGCATATGCTTCCCTTTATAATAGTTCACCTGTTTTGGTTTGAAAAATAGATGTTTAATAGAGATTGTAAGAATAATTATTTTACTATTAAAGTCTTGCTCTGTCCTTGCAAATTTTCATTTGCCTCTATGAAATGTCACAGGCTCATTTAATGGAATGAGACTCATTTCTAGATGTAATAAAATTCCTGGGTCATCAATAATTATATTGCAATAATTTGATATAATATCCCATATCATTCCCTAAATTCTGTGTTTGTAAAGAATTATTCATTTTGAATTTGAAAATTATGAATTTCCTTCATCAATCTATCCCCATTTTAGACATCAACTCAACTTTTAATTAAATGTGCCTTAAATTTTATTTGTAAAATGTTTATATTTAACTCATTTGAATGAATTTATTCAGCATCTTGTGCATCTGTATAAATGAACAATGCCAGAATTAGATCTGCTCTTAATACTAATAATACAAAGTGAAAAACAGGTAAATATCAAAATGAAGTTATTTTAAATGAATAATTTAAATATAAAAGAGTTAAGAGAATCCCTCTTCTGTGTGTCAGTGAACCCCCTTAATTCTCAAATATAGTTCAGTCTCTAAGGAATACAAATTGGTTTTCTATTTTAGAGCAAGCGTATTTGGACTTACAAAAAAATCCTATTTTGTTCATTAAAAGAGCATATTTCTAATTTGTTTTGGTGCATATTTAAAAAATCTGTTTGGGAAGAAAGCTGTTACAAATCATGTATGAATGAGGCCATCTGCAAAAATATGCATATAATGATCATAACTTACTAAAACAGGTTTAAAAACAAAAGCAACCTATAATCTGTTTTATGTTTCCAGTGATCCTTTTGTAATGATTAGAGAATTCTTATGTTTTTTCTCATTCATCCTTCTTGAATGTAGTCATAACCTCATTCATGACTTTTCTAAGTAACTATAAGAAAAATTTAATCTCATCAAATGATTTACCCTAAATTATAAGGTATTAGTAATCATGATATAAAAAGCTCTGTGAGAAATAAGAAAAAATTTGATTCAACATTTATTGGATATATTTTCTCTTTTAAAGTTAACACTAAAATGAATATTTGTTTCTAAAAATAATAGATTTATTCAGATTTACAAAAATCGAAAAAGTATGCATGAGACTAGACAACAGTATTATCTCTAATTTTAATTACCTGGTTGAAATGCAGAGTGATTTCTAATTACATGTTGTGGACATACTGTGAGATATTTTTAATAAATAAAAAGTCTCGACTTTCTACCCTTACACATTCTTAAAACAAAAGACATTTGTATTTTATTTTTCCTATTTGATCTATAATATTTTTACTCCTTAGGAATATGTGCAGCTTTGGATTCATGCCAATTTAATGCCACATGCATTGCCAATTTTGACTCATTATTTACTTAAAATGCTTTATGAATCTGTGGTAGACATCACAGAAAGCAAGCAGAAAACGACACAGCCTTGTCTATTCAGCATATACTCTTGTTGAGCTAATCAGCATCCACAAGATAATATAAAAAATATCAGTGCTAACCCCACTTTGGCTAAATATTAAAACATATGGCTCTCCAATTAATTGGCTGCATGGAATAACTGCACTCCAGGTGCCTGTCACAGAATATTCCTGAATCAGCCTCAGGTCAAATTTTTCTAAAGCTTGGCCAAAATAAATACCATGGCAGTTTGCTTGAAGGATGTTCAGTCCATTCATTCTTTTGATCCTCTTAAATGTACTCTGTGACTAAAACAGAACATCAGAGAGCCTATATACTATTACCTTGTCTGCCCTACCTCTGTGCCATTATAATTGCTTTTCATGGATTGAGCTTTGGCACTATACCATCAGCCTTTATTGAGGACATTTTCAGAAACATGGCCATGTATCAGGTCAGTAGGTGCTCTCTCTGAGGATCTATTTCTAGTTTCATACCAACATTAGTTTGGCTAACTAGTTTCAGTCAGTTATTATAAGAAAACATTCCAGTTTAGGAATGATTGGGAAATAAAATGGAAATGGTAATTGTAATATTCTTTCAATTTTATCAGTAGAAACTATTTTAAGTTTCATTCTTGATTTTATGCAGTACTCTAAGAATATTTCTAATTTGACATACATTGCCTACTCAAGGATAGTTTTCAAATCAAAATATAATCAGTGTTATCATTCAAAATAATATTCATTCAAATAACTAGGTTCCTAGCTCAACTTCAGAAGTAGCAAGAAGCAGGCATAGGCCTTAATAAAAGACAAGTTTTCCCAGGGATAGAGGCATGACTGTGTTATATTACACCCAAATTAAGAGAAAAATAGGCCTAAATGTTAGCTAAGTGAGCAAAGGATTTAGCAGAAAGCTGTGAAAAACAAATAAACAAAATAACGAAACAGGCAAGTTAAAGCTCATAGTACTGGACCTTGTCACGTGGTGAATGATGCACTTTTGTTCCTCAAGTTTATTACAATAATGACAGTGTCTCTGGAGTTATGCTCAAGATGTCTATTCTTAGGCCCTTGACCGCAATGCTTATTTTTCCCCCTTTTAAAATGAATCTTCTGCCTTCCATAACACACACACACACACACACACACACACACACACACACACAGACACCACATTTGAAATAAACTAAGGTGAATAGACAGTTTTGACAATACCATAAGAGAATTAAAATCTGTTTTGTAATAATTCAAGATAATAATTGTTAATGAGAGGTAATGATTGAATAATTAAAACAAATATGTTCCTTGGAATCTTAATATTTGAGAAGGGTACCATAAAAGTAGGTAACTCTTGGAAAGTGAAAGAAAATTTTTCACATTAAGAGTCCACCTTTGAAATGACTTGATTAGTTAAGTATTGAAATTAATTTCTTCACATAACTAAATTGTCTGTATTTGTTATAACCATAGTTAGATATTATGATTATAGATGAAAAATTATTCTAAAAGGCAACATTTTTTTCTCCTAGCTAGGATTTGAATCTAACAGCATTTTTTTAATATAGTTAAGTCCCAACAGAGTGTCAAATGAAGCTGAATTCAGCTCTTTCTCAAGGTGTCAGTTTTTCTAATTTATTTTCCTACTAACTGCCAGAATATATTCATGTTTTGAGGTTAGCCCTATTCAGTCTAGGATGATAACATCTTCACTTGTTCTTAGAATTGCTGCAGTGAGATTATCCTGACTTTCACACAGAATGTAAAAGAACATATAACTCAAATACATTTGGAAAAAATGATTCTTTTGAATTAAGCATTGATTATGTCCTTAGAAATACCGTTTTCTTCTTTCATTTTTGTGCCTTGTCCAAGACTTCATTCCCACCTGCTAACATGATGATACATTTTATAAACTCATGTTTTAAATAACTATATAATATATACATATATAAATATAAATAAATATAAAAACTTACCATTTTGGCTAATTATAAAATATAATTTTAGCTAGATCTGTAATATTTTTGCTAAGGCCATTTGTATATTATTTAATAAAATGTTAACATTTATAACATTCCTTTTCCCAAATTTCTAATTCTTAACAAATTAAATAGAATGTGCAATAAGTATTTTAATAAATTAAACATTAGCTATAATATTGTTTATTATGAAGTATATTTTATTAAATAAAGCCAGAGGGAACATATATATTTTTTAGAACCTTACACATTGGTTAATTGTCATAGAAAGATAGTTTTTCAAAACTGGATAGAGTGCTAATTATAAGTATAGGTTAAACCAAAAAAATTAAAAAATAGTTTTAGGATTGATTGCCTTAAAACTTAACAATATAGAGTGAATATAAAATGATATTTTGATTAATAAATTATATATTTATAAAAGGCAATTTTTTGTACTCAATGTGAATAAAGAGTAATTATGAGCCCATTTAAGATCATGTTTTAAAAATATAAATAAAAGCAATTTTAAAATATCTTAAATTTATAGACTGCTTTACAGTTTACTAGGTAACTTTTACCTCATTATTTTTCATAATACATCAGTGTTATTAGAGTAGGTGTTAATTTAATTTTCCCAATCACAGGTGAGAAAATTAAAATATAGATAAAAACTTTATATAAAATAAAATTACATTTAAAATTCTATTATTTCATTAACATTTTATATCTGAGCACCTCACTATGGGAGCATAAAGGTTAATTGTAAATCCTAACCCTGGGACAATGCAGACAGTAAATATTCTGAATTTCATAGATTGTACCAGAATATCAGTAATATCAAATTATATTAAAATATGACCAAAATGTTACGCATATATTAGACAGTATTAATTTTACCATAAAAGTAATGCATGTCTTAATGCTAAATAGCCAGTCTACCTTAATAATTATTCAATATACATTTATATTTGACATTTAAATCTAAATGTAAAATTTGTGTTTGCTTTTAAAAAAATCAATATTAAGTTTTAATATCTAAAGGTCTGTTTTTTATCTTGAATCACAAAATAAAGAGACTATTCTAGGAGATGAGGGAGAGCAAAGGCTTGCTTATTGAGCCTTCTCTGATGTTTCAGTCATGACCCCGCTTCTGTGCACATTTTCCTGTGGTTATAGTAAATACCCCGTCAAACTTGCCTTCAGTTTAGCATGCTCTGCTTTGACTGGTTAACACTGATTCTTCGTGGATCAACTCAGTTGTCACTTGCTTCTGAAAAGCCTTCCCTGAGTCTCATCCCCCACTCTATATGAGTTGGATCTTCATTGAGTTTGCAGAGCATTTTCTGCTAACTTTTATTATAAATATAGTGAGACAATTCATATTTTCTTTTTCTCTGCTAGGCCTTGGGGTTGCTGTGATAAGCAACCATGCTTCTAATCTCTATTAACATAACGCAATACAATATCTGGTGAAAATATGTGGAATAATGAATTAATTGAATGAATTATACAGTGTGATGTTTCAGTAGCTTCTTCAGGAATAAAGATTCCTGCAGTAGTTTCTACATATGCATTAACATACAGAGCACACAGGACATTCTCATGGCTTGCTTACTTTTAACCAATGTTTCCATTTTAAAAACCGGAGAAGAAGAAAGGTAGGTATAAGTATTAAGCCACATTCTACAATAACTAGTCTGTATGGTCTGATTATTTAATATTCTATTAGGAAAAAAAATGACACCTACAAATAAACTTCTACTTCAGAATCCAATGCTGTTCAAGGCAATATTGTAACATGAAGCTTGAGTTTAATTCTAGGACTTCTTTTCATTTACGTGCTTAGATGCTTATTCTTATTACGTAAAGATGAAGCAATGTAATATCCATCATAACTCCTTTTTTTAAGTATAGGCACATACCTAAATACAAGTAAAACAATTCTTATAGCCAATTATGCAGACTACCTGAGAAAAGTTGAAACAATTATTGCAAAGGTGACAGAAACAAAATTAAGGATTAAGAAAGAAATATTAATTTTTAGAGTACTCAGTTCCATTATAGAAAGAGACATCTGCCAACCTTTTTGACATATGTCATTTAGTCTCATTACTATATTTGGTGATATCGCCTGTCACTTTCTTGAAATTCTGATCTTTCTTCACTCAGATTTACTAAAAACTACTGGTTTTCCTTACACTTTTTGAATGATCCTGTTTAATATGCTTTGCTGGTTTCTTATTGAATGAATCTATTCTTCAAGATCTGCCTGCTGTTCTCTTCTTTTGCATATAATCTCTGGGTAATTCTACCTCTAACTCTGGCCTAAGTACCCTCTGTATTCTTTAAGATCTGAATCTTTTTTTTTTTTAATGGTCAGGTGAGTTTATCATTATATGTCCCTCCCACCCCCAGAATAGTACCCTATAGTTACGAAGTATGTTCATAATGAAGTTAATCTGTTGCCTATACTCTTTTTTAACACAACTATTTATTATGATTCAGTGGAGAAATATTATTTTTTATTATACTTTAAGTTCTTGGGTACATGTGCAGAACATGCAGTTTTATTACATAGGTCTTTAACTATAGACTCATCTCTGAGATCTGCTTACTAGCTTTGGCTATTGAGCAGAATATTACTTTTTAATTTCTATGTTTGAATTTTTTCATCTGTGTATTGAACATAATTATAGAAACTCCTGGGATTGTTGTGAGGATTCAATAAGATAAGCACATCTACAGGGTCTGATGCTCAACATATTCTAGCCTTCCCCCCAGAACCTGTTCCTCCTCTATTTGTAAATCATCACATTCTCTATAAATCAGGACATTTTTTTTCTTGGCAATGTCAGTTCCCTCATTCAGTTCTGCTGCTGCTGCCATAGTCATCTATACAAGCTTGTAACCTCCACAGTGCATCTGTCATTCCTTCAGGGTAAACTTATCCTCTTCAAATGCAAGTAGCCTAGGGAGGAAGTTCCATGCTAAATGGAAACCAGCTATGTGTTAAAAATGGGAATTCTATTTTAAATTCTATTTTTCAGCCAAGCCCACTGAGCACAATCAAAGGCTTGGAAAGCACTGTCAATTTTCTTTAGGGTACATTTCTTTATCATATTCTTTCCAAGATGACAGGCTCAATCATGCCACTTTCTAACTCAAAAATCTTTATTTGACTCAGCTGAACGTTTCAGGCAGTGAGACTCCAGCTGACTTCCCCCATGGAGCAATTTTATCTCATATGTTCCGGGAGCTTCAGAGCACCATGTATTCCCGGTGACACCACTCCTGCAATGGTGCTGACAGCAATATGGACAGGTGTGAAAATAAAGCATTCCACATGTTTCTGTCAAGACTTTCCTCTTTCTCTCTCTCGGCTCCTTCTCTTCTCCCCTGACTCATTCCAGGCCCCACATCCTCACTTTTCAGGAAACACTGAGCAGGTGTGAGGATGTGGGGAGAGGGAGAGTCTAGGTAATGAGGGTTGATTGGGATGTCTCAAGTATCTTCAGGTGACTGAGGCAAACAGAATGGACTATGTTCTAGGGTTAGTCTCAGTGGTCTTTCTAGAGAATGACAGTTGTAAGGATGTGAGGCTTGGGACCTGGTTGTTAGGATCCATCAGTAAATATCTCTTGTTCTTTAGCATTTAAAGAAATTAATTGAACTTAGGCCCTTTATTCAAAGTTGGGTTTATGTGAACTAGTATTCACTTTTGGTTGTTATGTGTCCATTAAACTATACTGTAGTTTTAGAATTACTAATGGTAATGTATTTGCTGCCTAACACACAGTATTTTTGCCAGTGTGACTTTCCATATTATTCAGTTTCCCTTTCTCAGTTCCAAATCACTACTTCCCATCCTTACTGGCTAAGACTGGAGACAAACAACACATGTGAAAGTTAAATCTATTTAAAATATCTATACTTTCTCAGATTGCTTCAATGGCCAATAAGTCTTCAGCCTTATATGGCTGTATCTACCTGTTTGCTGATAGAAACAAAATGCCAGCAAATATGCTGAGTGAAAGATTGGATTCTGAATGTTTAGAATGTATAATACACATTTTTGGCATACTGTTAGGAACCAGGTAGCAAAGCAAATAGTAAATATTTTATTTATGCATCAAAAAACTACTTTAAACCTCTTACTGCTTCTCTGAATTTACATTTTGATGTATGTTTGTATAGCTGTATTTACAATATTCTTCTAACTGAAGAATCATTAAATAAAATGCATCCATATGGTTGGTTATTATGTCATCAATAAAAATCATGTTTTCAAATTTAACGACATCAGAATATTCAATATAATTTTCCATGATCGTTTCAAATTTTTCAAATTTTTACCATGGACAGGCAGTACTTCTAGATTATTTATTTATTTATATGTTTTTGAAGAAACACAAACCAAGTTCAACCTCAATATATGAGACTTAGGATTCTGAAGTCTATAAACAGTTACAGGAAAAGGAATAACTTCTATAAATGAGTAACTTTAAAACAGATGCCAACAATCATGCCTTAACTGAAGAGCTAAGTCCTTCTTAAATATTGACTTAAAATTGGACTTTTTTCTATCCCTGCCAACTTCAGCCTAAATTCTATAACTGATATTTATCTTTTGCATATGAATTATACATTGTTTTCATTCTCCACCTAGCTTTTTACTTGTTTCTATTATCCTAGACCAAGAAAGATACTCATTTTGTGGAGTGTGTGTGTGTGTGTGTGTGTGTGTGTGTGTGTGTGTTTGTGTGTGTGTGTGTGTGTGTTTCTTGTTCCTGGAGCTTTGGTTCATTTTTCTTTGTTTTCCAAATCCAATTGGTCTGCCACAGCTCATAATAAATTTCACTTTATTAAGGTTTCCCTGGTGACTTCAGCCAATTAGTTGCTCTATTCCTGATTCTGATTTGATCATTCTTACCTTAACTGCATTATTTGACTAAATGAGGATGTAGACATGAATATGTATGTATATGTTGTATATTCATGCATATAATACATATGAATATATATTCATCGTATTTTTGCTAGTTCCTATATAATTACTTTGATTCTTCTAAGAGCAAAAATTATATATAGCACTTAGAACAATAGGAATATCATAGAAATTGTGTAATAATTATCTTATGAATGGATTTAAACAACTTCAGAGTCTCACAAAGATTTCTTAATACTGATTAGCCATTGGATGTCAAACAGAACAGGAGAATTTTTAAAAATGGACTCTCCAAATTTTTACAAATTTGTATCTTCCTGTTTGAATATTTAATAATCATATTTTTTTAACAATTAGCCCCATATTAATTGAGCAATCTGTAATTGCCCAGATTGTAGGATCTTTACAACATTTTTTTTTAATTTAAAACTTTCCTGGTGAAGAGAGTATACATTGGTGGCTCATAACCTGAGTTTCATACAGAGTTTTTGCCGGGGGGGTGGGGGTCTCTCTAATATTAAAAAAAAAATGACAGGTGAGTCATGAACTCTCATTTCTCATAATACCTATTTCTAGCTATGGTCTTATATATTTATGTTTATCTATTATTAGCAATACCTTGCAAATGGTACTAAAACTTTAATTTTAGGAAATACTTTGATTTTAAAAGATATATATGAAAAATGATACTCTGCAACTCTGACTCCAAAATCACAGGGAAACAAAAGACTAAGGTATCCAAACACACAGGCCAAAAATAAGCCCCTTAGTGTCATAATGATAAACATAATACTTAGGACAGTAGTTAACTCAAAGGAGGATATAAAGAAATGAGTTTGAAAGAAGCTTCAAAAGTAATGGTCATATTTCATTTCTTTAATTGGATCAATGGCTCATGGGTGTTCATTTTAAAGTTATTCTTTGTGCCCCACACTTGTTTAATAGATGAATTTTGGGCCAGGTGCAGTGGCTCACGCCTGTAATCCCAGCACTTTGGGAGGCCAAGGCAGGCAGATCACCTGAGGTCAGGAACTTGAGACCAGCCTGGCCAACATAGTGAAACCCCGACTCTACTGAAAATACAAAAAATTAGCTGGGTGTGGTGGTGGGCACCTGTAATCCCAACTACTCGGGAGGCTGAGGCAGGAGAATCGCTTGAACCTGGGAGGCAGAGGTTGTGTGAGCCAAGGTCACACCATTGCACCCCAGCCTGGGCAATAAGAGCAAAACTCCATCTCCAAAAATAAATAAATAAATAAATAAATAAATAAATAAATAAATAAATAAAAAAGATGAATTTTGCACTCAGGCAGTTTACTGAAAAAACAGAAAAAGGAAAAAAAAAGCACAGAACTATTCATATATTGTTCAAAAATATACAAAAGTAAATAATATAAAAAAGTGTGTAGTATTAAAACCATATCAAGGAACAAAGATCTAACAAAACAAAAATTAAAATAGTGGTTATTCTTGGAGGATATATAATAGGATGTTATTGAAAACAGGACCTGGGTGTGTCAAACCAATGTATTAGATAATATTGGCACTGTTCTGTTTCTTCAGTGGATAGTGGGTGAGTGTAAATATACACTCCTTTAAAAATTTTTTCGAATTTTTATTTTATATCTAATTTACAAATAATAATTTTAGTCCAAGTGTGGTGGCTCATACCTGTAATCCCAGAACTTTGGGAGGCAAATGCTGGAAGATGGCTTGGGCCCAGGAGTTTGAGACCAGGCAACGTAGCGAGATCCTATCTCTACAAAAATGATAAAAATGTTTCAAAAAGAAAAAATAAACAATTATAATTGTATATGTTTATGTGGTACAATATGATGTTTCAATAGATGTGAACATTGTGGAATGATCAAATCAGGCTAATTAACATACCAGTCATCTGACATGTCACAAATTATGTTGATGACTGAAATAGCTCACCATATTTTTTTTTTAGAAACTAAACCTTTGAAGTGACTATTTATGCATGTTACACTGATTGAAACAGTTCTTATTTCTCTTAAATTCCAGTAAAATGCACTTTCTTGGTCATGCAAGTTAATATCCAAAATAGTTTGTTAGAATTACTTTGCATACACACCAACAATCATGGATAAAAGTGTAAAAAATTATCATCCCTTGAATAACAAGTTGACTCAGCCTGACTGTATCACTTAGATTTTAATCAGAAAAGCAGAATGATTAGGAAGTTTAAAATATATATAATAAGAGATTTGGTATAGAGATTTGTTCATACACAGTTGTGAAAGCTGGTTAAGTGATTGCTGAAGATTGCTGGAGCTTAAGTCTGAAGGGCAGGCAGAGGAAGGAAAGAATTTAAAGTAGGGGAGAGGATGGACAAGCTGGAACCCATGAGGACAGGTCAGAATGCCTGTCCCTTCTCACTGAACTCCAAGCTAAATGCCTATGGACAAGCTGAAGGAGAATCTAGAGGAAAATAGATTAGCTGCATTCCTGCTTCCTATCCCAAGCCAAACAATAATTGACAACATGGGTAACCTTTAACAGCACCTAGTGACCCTGCTCAGATTCTCTGGGTATACAAAACCCAGTATGGCTACTGCTTTGCTTCTACTACCTGCCAAATCCCATACAAAATATTTCCTGTGATAAACTGTATTAGACAGTTTCACACTGCTATGAAGAACTGCCTGAGGCTGTGTAATTTATAAAACAAAGAAGTTTAATTGACTCACAGTTCCGCATGCCTGGGAATGCCTCAGGAAACTTACGGTCATGGCAGAAGGCAAAGGAGAATTTAGTACCTTCTTCACAAGGTGGTAGGAGAGAGAAAGTGCAGGGGAAACTGCCACTTTTAAACCATCAGGTCTCATGAGAACTTCCTCACTATCATGAGAACAGCATAGGGGAAACTGCCCCCATAATCCAATCACTTCCCACCAAGTCCCTCCCTCCACACGTGGGGATTACATTTTACAATGAGATTTGGTGGGGACACAGAGCCAAACAATACTGTACACTGTAACGGGAAACATTTAGGGCAAATGATTCTGGGAAACATAGTTCAACCTAGACAAGTTTACACCCTGCAGAATCGATATACTGATTCTTCCCTGCAAGAAGAGCTTACAGTATTGCACTGTGTTCTACCACATCACAGGAGGGCTTAACACCTAACCAATCTCTCCCACCACCAGTATCCATTCTGCATTATCTAGACAGTCTAGTGTGACCCACCTTCTATGCATTTCAGACTCCCTAGTCTGTGAAATTATTCTGTCTTTAAATATTATATCCAGAATGAGGCTTAAATTTATAAGTGAGGGGATTGATTTTTATCTTGTAACATGTTCTACAAATTTCATTTGGCTGCAGTGTGTTTTAAATGATCTGTCTTCCAAATGCATATTTCTTTGTAATCTTAACAAACATAAAATTTCCCTATAATGAAGTGCTTTAGATCTTTTAAATAAATTTTGTTTTAAAATTCAATTTTTCATTGCTTGTAGTGCTGACTAGTGACTAACTTAGGCTTAAGTCTAAGTTTTTTTGCTTTGATGTAATTATTCACACATGCAAAATCAGTATACAGATTTTATAATAAAGATATACCTGCTGGGCACGGTGGCTCACGCCTGTAATCCCAGCACTTTGGGAGGCTGAGGTGGGTGGATCACCAGGTCAGGAGATCGAGACAATCCTGGCTAATACGGTGAAACCCCGCCTCTACTAAAAATGCAAAAATTAGCAGGGCATGGTGGCGGGCACCTGTAGTCCCAGCTACTCCGGAGGCTGAGGCAGGAGAATGGCATGAACCCGTGAGATGGAGCTTGCAATGAGCCCAGATTGCACCACTGCACTCCAGCCTGGGCAACAGAGCAAGACTCTGTCTCTAAAAAAATAAAATAAAATAAAAAGATATACCAAAATACACCTCTATAAGAGCAGAGGGATGAGAACTGATTACATTTTAAAAATTAACTTGACGCACATAAAACATAAATGATATATTTTTAAAACTATTGATTATTTTTATACCACACTTATAATACATAAATAGCTATCAGCCTAAAACCTAGTACACTAGAAAAATTAATCACAAAAAATGCTATGAACCCATAGATAAGCCTTTCTTCTAAGTCTTATATTTCCGCTAAAGTTAGCTAAAATCAATGCATTAAGTTGTATGATTACCCATAAGTTTAGCGCATCATTGGTTACCAGTGAGAAATCAGCTGTGCCTTTGGAGTTGTCCTTTATACACACACTGGTAGATGATCAGTTAATCTAATAACTCTGATTAAACTCAGATCAGGTAGTCTACTCAGTTGAGAATCACACAGTGGCGTGATCTCAACTCACTGCCACCTCCAGCTCCTGGGTTCAAATGATTCTCCTGCCTCAACCTCCTAAGTAGCTGAGATTACAGGTGCCCATCACCACACCTGGCTAATTTTGTACATTCAGTAGAAATGGGGTTTCACCATTTTGGCCAGGCTGGTCTCAAACTCCTGACCTCAAGAGATCTACCCACCTCGGTCTCCCAAAGTGCTAGGATTACAGATGTGAGCCACTGCACCCAGCCATATATATCTTGTAAAAGAAAACTAAGCATATGATTTTCTTCAGATCTGTTAAAATTGTGTTAATGTAATAATTCACAGATATTTAAATTAGAGCAAGTTTTCATTTATGTGTTATTTATGTAATAGTATTGAAAACATCGAAAATTCAGAGATCATTAGTTTCAGAAAAAAGTATATGAATTTTGATAAGAAAGCAACCAGAATCATGGTTCTGGTTTAGTAAAAATTAACACAAAAAGAGTATCAATCAAGAGTATGAAATCATATTCTACACACAGTTTTAATATCTGGTTGTAATATACATAATTTTAGTTGGCATGTTGCTATTTATGGAAATATCTGTTAATGTATTTTACATTATACAGAAACCTACATTGCAAGTTTTTTTTTTTTAATCTGCCTTCTGCTGAATGCAAGTTTCTAATGAGGGAAACAAAGAGACTTCATTTGTTATACAGAAGTGTGAGGTCTTGCAGAAATAAGCATGCAGGTAAGAGATGGGTAGGCATGACCACTAATCACCTTTTACCTAGGAATGATAACTCTAGTACAAGTTTCTAACAGTACCTGTATTGTATTAGGTTGTATTTATATTCTTCAATTCAGCAATTCAACTGGAAATTAGTATTTTATGTTGACTATTTTTATTTCTCAACACTGTATTCATATACATATTTATGTTCTAATATAATTTGATATAATCTTATGTCTATATATGAGGAAGAACCTCAATCATTCAATTATGTATTTTGAACATGAATTATTCTGGTGTCAGTGGTTTTAAAAGAAACAAAATATGAATGAAGCTGCACAGCCTCGGTAAAAGAATATAATGATAAAAGGACCTGACACACATTTCATTTATTTTTTGAAGGGACGGAGTAAGCATAGAAGTATCTCAAATTCATCATTATGCATACTTATAAACTGCAGTCTCAGGACTGATTATAGATTTCTAATGTCCTGATCTTGTAGTCTGAACAATCGATTGTGTAGTCTGGAAAAAGAATGTGTCAACTGTGAATTCAATCCTTCTCCCTTTTGTAGATGTCATAAAGGGAATGAATTTATAACTAAAAAAAAAATTATCAGAATGTCACATTGAATTGTAAAAATGCGTGGATCTGAGTTGAATAGAACACCATATTGCCGAGATTGTAAATAACATTGATAAAAATGACAAGTTACGGGTAACATTGCTCCCCAATTGGTGTATTTGTCAATAAGTAAAAAGGAGAATTCTAAGCAGTTTATTACTGTAATTATTTCTCTTTTTAAATTTTACCCCAAATGATAAGCAAATAAATAGATAAACGAAAACCAGTGTAAAATTTGTGTTGAGTCAAAAGCTTCATAGTGGGCAGGGAACTTGATGTAATAGTACCAATCTCCTTGATTGCTTGGATTTCTTTACAGAATTTTGAGACATGACCTACCCAGTCTTTGACTACATACTTCTATGGGTGGAAATGATACAAGCTTCCTAATCACTTCACTTGACCTTTAATGAAATTTAATTTTAAGGTAGTGTTTGGAAGATTTCTCCAACACAAATATGAATGTTCACGTAGGTTTTGTGACCACCATTTCCTTACCATTTTAAGTCTAAAAGCAAACTTTCAACCTGTTCAACCTGCTGCAAGTCTTACTATTATGCTTTGGAAAAGATCCTTAGAAAAATAAATAGGCAGCCCTGAAGTTCTGAGATTCTCCTTAATGGGATTGTTGCTATAGTTACAGCTGAAATGTTATATAAAGCAAATTGCTTATTGATGGAAAAATGCTGAGTGGCACAGTAGCATCCCTTCTCTGGGTTTTTATTGCCTTCATTTTCTACTTTCCTTCTTAAGATGAATGGATTTTTTGAACACTGTTTTGTTTTGAACAAGCTCTCGTGAATTGATGTTAAAATAAATGTGTTTTATTAACATGTACTAGCTGACAATTGAATAAATTTGAGTATTTTCTGATCAGTATGGTGTTATTTTACATATTCTACTTGTCAGAATGTTTCCTACTTAGAGATGAATTTTGATACCCTGATTATTAATGTTATAGCACTGAATAAACGGTGATTGGTCTCATAATTTGGAGGCCTCTGAGTTTGTTTATATTTAATGATAACATAGATGAAACATAAACTTTTATTGCTTTATACCATTAGATGATACTTATAATAGCATAGTCAAAATATATTTAAAAATCACCGGAAAAAAAATGGAAGCAGTCTTAAAGCATCCACAAGGATGATTAGCATGTTTTTTTAAAGCCTCCTTAAGCATCTATATTTTGTAATTTTTTATGTAGTAAACTCAGTAATACAATAGAGATGTTCTCAGTACATATATATATATATATATATGGTTGGTACAAAAGTAATTGTGGCTTTTTCCATTACTTTTTCCATTAAAAGTAATAAACAAATTTGAATTGGAGAAATGTTGCAAACAGCACCTTAAAATGAAATTTTATCATATATATCTATACGATATCATATATCATATCATATATATTATATATTATATATTATATAACATGATATATATTATATGATTATATAGATAGATCTATATCTATACACATATAGAATGAAATTTTATTATATATATAAAATTTGATATAATAGACCACCAGCAGTTTTATGTGTGTGTATTACAGATGTATACACACACACACATATATATACACACACACATACACATAAAACTGCTGGTTGTCTTACTATATTTATAAGAAGATATTTCAAAGATAAAACTATAACTCATTTGATACTTAACCTTAAGGCAAAATATGAATAATCATGCGTATCACAATTCTAACTGTTCCAGGAAGAGTTAATGCTATATCTGGCTAAATCTTTTCAGCAAGTAAAAGTCATACATGGCATTGATACATTGAGTTGTTACGTAAGTGAAATAATTTTGTTTAATTGATTTCCAGGTTGCTACTGGACCAGAAACAATATGAAAATGTCATGGTGTGGCTATTTAGGAACTAAGAGTATAGATAACATCTTTTGGAACTATAAATACAATATTTCTTAATTAAATTCCTGAATACACTGATACAAAAATCTTTGGATTATTTTTGTTAAAGAATGAAAAAAAATTGTGACCTACAGATGTTTAGGTTATAGAGTATTTCCAAAATTTTGGGAGAAGCAAATTTTTCTGGTCAGTTTGTTTATAATTGATGATGATATGATAATGATGATGACCCATATTGTCCAAAATAAACTTTCTTGGAAATTTACTGTTATTTCTTTTTACTCACTGTGAAAAACCTGATCAATTTTTCTTTTCTCATTTCCTCTTTGTATTTTACCTAGATTCTGTATTTTCCTCCAATGATACTCCTATGCTCCCCCTTAATAAACAAAATTTGAATTTATATATCTAAAGAAATGTAAAATTTTTGGTGTTACTCTAGGGCTTTGTTCTCTTTCAACTCTTATTGACATTATAACTTCCTCTGCTTGCTGAATTTGTTGACATTTTATTTTTGGTTCTAGGGCTGCAGAAAAGAGAAGAGACACATATGAGACCACCAGTTTAGCATTTCTGATTGTTGAAAAACATACTCTTTTGTGGCTTATAATTTATCAAATTCCTTATGTTTCAAACTAAATTCCTCAGATAATCTTGTTGTATTCATTCCATCCTTTCCATTTCCTCTAATAGTTTCTTTCTGCCTCTAGATTTAATTTTTACCAACATAGGTAGGTAACCACATTCTGCCGGCCTGATCTTAAAGAAGCAGATTTTACTCCTTTACAGAAACCTTCACTGGATTACAGTTTCTTCTACAAAATGTCTAGTTATGGCAATAAGTGTCATTTATTTGGGAATAATTGCCACCTAAGAGAGAATCTCAACTTGCCTCTTCAACTTTATCTTCCATTACCTTACAGCTAAGCAACATGTTTATTGTTTAATTTTTACCTAGATTTGGTCAAATCTAGTGTTTTTAATCATTGCCTTTTTGCAGGCATATGTTATATGATTTTTGCTGTGCCTCATCTCTTAACTTAATCATTGAATTTCAATGTGAATGAAATAAGGCCTTAGCCTGATGTTGTATTTACATTTTGACTGATTGCTATCGAATCTGAATAGATATTTTCATTTCATATTTCTATTATGTCAAATAGTGACAAGACATATTTTTGGGAAAATAGATTTATTTCACATTCACAATTTATTAACATATCTATTTTAAGGCCAAACCTTCTTGGAAAATATCTAACTAGAAGTGGTATCTCTCTCTTCTGCATTGCAACACAATATCTCCGTCTCTTTGTTTTTACTGCATATTTAACTTATTTTCACCCATGCTTTATTTCTTCTACTTGAATGTTGGTCCCTTGATGAAATAACCTTTGCATATGCACTTTCCAACCAATAGATATAAACCAAATAGATACATACAGAATAGATATATGAATGAATTATTTTGTCATTATTTGACGTAATAGAAATATCAGCTCCAAATTAATTTTGGTGACAATTAGTCAGAGTGTAAGTTCAGAAGAATTAGGCTGGCTGCCTTCTTTCATTCACAATGAAAATTAGTCATGCACCCAAGAGACTGGGTATAGCAACATTATGTTAAAAATAATTGCAAAATAGCAATTATTTAAAATGCTAGGTTTAACTGAACATGGATGGCAATTTAAGCAAAACATTAATTTGAAATAGCCAATGAGGCTCTCAGGATAAGATCTTTTATTGCTCAGATTTACACTATTGCCTTCTGTTTGCATTACAAACCTTAGTAGTTTAATGGTTATCACCACTTTATAGGTTTACCAAGCATTACTTTAAATTGGGACAATGAAATATTTTATGTGACAAAATAGATTACATAGATGATACCTTTTATCCTCATACCTAAATTTCAAATTATAGGAAAATAATGAGTATACTACCTTGAAATTATTGCTATGTTTTATTTTCTCAACACATTTTTCTTGTGCCAAGAGCCATGTACCATTGTGGCCTCATATGCTGTAAAGTAGCAAGAGATGGCAATTTTTTAAGAATAATTTGTCCCTGTCCCAACATCTCAGATAGAATAGTCTCACTTCTTTAAATGACAAAAATTTCCAATGGCATGAAACCTATATTTCTGGTATATTAAAATTTTCTAACTTATTTATATTAGAACATAGCCTATGGAGATGCTTAATACCCACCTGTATTTCGTTTTTAGAATCCATGTGGCAAATCAGCACGGTAATGCAGCCATTCGTATCTGTTTTTGTGTTTTAAAAAGTCAGGCTCTGGGGCTGGGCGCAGTGGCTCATGCCTGTAATCCCAGCACTTTGGGAGGCCAAGACAGGCAGATCACAAGGTCAGGAGATCTAGACCAATCCTAGGTAACATGGTGAAACCCCGTCTCTACTAAAAATGCAAAAAATAGCTGGGTATGGTGGCGTGTACCTGTAATCCCAGCTACTCAGGAGACTGAGGCAGGAGAATTTCTTGAACCCGGGCGGCAGAGATTGCAGTGAACCAAGATCAAGCCACTGCACTCCAGCCTGGTGACAAAGTGAGACTCCATCTCAAAAAAAAAAAAAAAAAAAAAGTCAGACTCTGAATGAAAATCTCTTAAGATGTGGTTCAACCAAGTAATAGTTTTTAAAACCATGTTATAGATTAAGATTGATTTTCTGTAGGTATTATGGAAGTTCTTCCTTCAGGGACTGTTCAACACAAGAGCTAGAACTTTTAGCATTTGACATAATGAATCAAATCTTCTTTCCAATGACTTTTATATAAAAACATTAATTAAAGAAGGCACACAATTCACTTCAGAGCTCCTTAGACATGAAATTAACAAGAGAATTGATATTGAGTGATTATATACACAAAAAGCAAATGAATCCATATATATCCTAATATTTTATTGGCAGCATTTTACCACATTTACAGAATTGACTTTTGTCTTTACTCTTTTAGATCAGCAAATAAGAATTATAATGGCTTACAGATTGCAAAATAATCATAGTTATTAAGCAACATTGTTAGTTTCTAAAGTAATTGGAACCTGAAGTAAGAAATGAAACTTAGATATCTTTTAGTATTCTAGAGCAATAAGTGATTTTTTTATCTAAATACTTTAAGATAAGCAACTAGAAAGAGTGAGCCAGCATGAAAAGCAATTTGAAACTGAACTTCTCAGAGCACAATGTAATGCATGAAAGCAATATTATTTGTATGACACTCTAACCCTGTGCCTTACAGAATGGGTACACATTCAGTGGTAACAATTAGAACTACATACACAGCCTTTACTTTTTAACATTAGAATAGATATAATGTAAGAAAAAATGCAACACACATCAATCAGGGAGGAATTCTTTAATAGTATTATTCTAACATAATTTGTCTCCTAGGTGATCATTTGTTCTATATTCTTATCAGAGAGTAGTTTTTAGTATTTACTTTGCAAAAATTCTCAACCAGTTTATCAAAAAGGCAGGTCCTCCTGTTTCCTCTCCCAGGATTCTGCTAAAATGGTTTTTGGTGTAGTTCCTAGGAATTTGTATGTCTAAAGACCCTATTAGTTGATTTAGTGCGGGTGACCATGGCTTAGACACTGAAGAGCAGCAATATAAGAAAATGTTTGGCCAAGCACAGTAGCTCATGTCTCTAATCCCAGCATTTTGGGAGGCCAAGGTGGGCGGATCACCTGAGGTCGGGAGTTCAAGACCAGCCTGACCAACATGGAGAAACCCCATCTCTACTAAAAATAAAAAATTAGCCGGGCATGGGTGGCGCGTGCCTGAATCCCAGGTACTCAGGAGGCTGAGGCAGGAGAATCGCTTGAACCCAGGAGGTGGAGGTTGCAGCGAGCCGAGATCGCACCATTGCACCCCAGCCTGGGCAAAAAAAAAAAAAAAAAGAAAAGAAGAAAGAAAATGTTTTAGTCAGCAAATCAGGACACTCAGGGAAAAAGATACCAAATAATTGAGACTTGGAGTGCTTCTTATTCAACTGCATGAGGTAATGTGATTAGTATTAAGAATGAGATTATGTTCATAATCTGGAAGCAGAGGATTATGCACAAGTGATTCTTGAAAACTGTCTATACCTATAAAGCTCTACTCTGAAAGGTAGAACTATATTTGGCCCAAGTCAAGAGATAGGAGATAATAGGCTAAATCCTAAAAGAACTTTTGATTAATTGGTTATTATAAAGATAATTATTATGAAATATAATAGTCTTTGAATAAATTTTGGATGAAAATACTAATTTTGAAGAAGCCAGGCCTTAAAATAATTTTATTTGGAACAAATGCAGATTTTTTTTCTTCCTGAAAATGAATATTTCTCTGGGTCCACGTTTAATGTAATTATTTCTCTTTCTTTTTCTCATTTAATGAAGATAGTGAATTGCTAGTCTCTAGAAATTCTATACAGTTTTACAGTTCAAATAGCCTTTTTGTAATGTTTTAAAAAATTACTGCGTCATTGGATTTGGAAAACAGTGACCCACCTTCTCCATGTACAAAAACAGCAGATAGGAATTGCCAAATTTTCACTTTGGTAAAATCACAGAAACAGATACATTATAATACATTCAATCTGTTCATTGTAATTTTTTTCCCACAGATTCAAGAATGGCTTTGTTTAAATTGCCAAACCCAGAGAGCAATATCAGGACAGCTTGGAGACATACGCAAAATGCCACCTGCACCATCAGGACCCAAAGCATCTCCTATGCCTGTTCCTACAGAATCATCATCTCAGAAAACAGCAGTGCCTCCCCAAGTAAAATTAGTGAAAAAGCAAGAACAAGAAGTAAAAACGGAAGCTGAAAAAGTCATTCTGGAAAAAGTAAAGGAAACACTATCAATGGAAAAAATTCCTCCTATGGTAACCACAGATCAAAAACAAGAAGAGAGTAAACTAGAGAAAGACAAAGCTTCAGCTCTTCAAGAAAAAAAGCCACTCCCTGAAGAAAAAAAACTAATCCCTGAAGAAGAAAAGATACGTTCTGAAGAAAAAAAGCCACTCCTAGAAGAAAAAAAGCCAACCCCTGAAGACAAAAAGCTACTCCCAGAGGCAAAAACATCAGCCCCAGAAGAACAGAAACATGACTTACTTAAATCTCAAGTACAAATTGCTGAAGAAAAGCTTGAAGGCAGAGTGGCTCCAAAGACAGTGCAAGAAGGGAAACAACCACAGACCAAGATGGAAGGTTTACCATCTGGCACACCTCAGAGTTTACCTAAAGAAGATGATAAGACAACCAAAACAATAAAAGAACAGCCACAGCCACCATGCACAGCAAAACCTGATCAGGTGGAACCTGGGAAAGAAAAAACAGTAAGTTAAATTTTACTAACTTCTCACACTCTCATGTGTGAAATTACTAATTTTTAACCTAAGTATACAAGTTGCTCAATGGTAATTATATAAGTGAAGTTCCTCAAACAATGAATGACATTCTTAAAGAAGTATAACACTTGTTTGACTATAATGAAGAACTTTGGTCTTTTCACAGCTTTATGAAGTTTACATAAAGCATAAATACCACATTTATTTCCCTGTTTCTTATGCCTATCAAATAATCTATCAAAATCATATGGAGTGATAAAGAAGTTATCTAGTTTTATTTATTTTCTCTACTATGGATATAAAAATCAATATCCCCCTTTAACATAAAGTAATGTGTCTTTATGTAAGTTTCTGTTTACTTAACCATTTGTTTACGTAAGAGTCAACAAGGTTTTATTTAATGTGTGGTCAGCCATAAAGTGATTGCAAAAAAAAAAAAAAAGAAAGAAAGAAAAAAGAAAAAAGGAAAAAAAAATGACGTAACTAAAATCCAAAGCAAAAGTCATTCTAAAATTTCACAAAGCAGTTTAATATTTAGCATGATTTTTAATATAATGTATCTGTTAGCAGTTTTATTCAATGTGTTTAATATTGAAAGGTTATTTATAATCAGCATAATTTGGAAAAATATTCTTTTCTTTTTCTTTAATGGAAAATTTTCATTTAACCCATTTTAACCAGTATTTTCACAAGCAGTTACATCCTTTTCAGTGGAACTCTGATATTTTTTGGAGCTGTAAGAGATCTTACATTATACTTAATTGAATATGTTTAATTCACAGAGGACAGCAATGACTTACCAGGAAATTAAATAATTTAATAGTGTTAAAATTCCAACTAGAAACTATAGTTTGTTTCACTGTGATTCAATTGTGTTTTCTTTACAGTTTTAACACATGCTTACCAACCCATCTCTGCTATCTGATGCATCACACATTGTCTAAGTAAATCCTGGTCTCCTTTCATTAAATGAGTTTGATCAGAGTCAAAAAGATGCCTATATATAGTCTCCATTCTAATGACTGAATCTAGCCACCGCCACCACCACCAATTGCTTCTTCCAGCTAACCTTTGCAGAGCTTGATGCTTGGTACTGTTTGTCCCTTTGTGAAACTTTCTGTGGCTTTCATGGCCCTCTACTTTCCTTCTCTTTTTGTCTTTCTGATCATACTTTATGAAATCTACTTTGACTATCTCTATGATTTATCTTTGCAAAGTCCAGATGATTTTCCTTGTTTTGTTTTGAGTTCTGTCTTTGTTCCTCCTATGGGAGCTACATGAACAATTTTTGAATCCACTTATGTACCTCTTGTCCCTCTTTTGAGTGTCAGACCTGCATTTTCAAGTACCTAGTCAGTAGTTCTACTTCAAAGCCTCTCTGTAAATGCAAACTCAATATGTCTGACTCTTTTCCACTTCTCTGTAGAAACAGTTTCTGCTTGTAACTTTCTGTTTCACCATCAAGCACCTGTCTCCTGTCTCCCAGTTACTCATCTTCTGAGTGATTTCAGGTCTCTTCTTACCTGTCCTTTGTTCTCCACAATGAAGGTATCACACTTCTGTCTATTAACTCCTGTTCCTCAGGGCACTACCTTACTTACTGCTTTCATGACCTTTTGCCAATTATTTGAGCAATCTAATTACTGGTTAGAATGCCTTCCTTTTCTCCCTTCTCCAGTCTATAGCTGTCAGGTAAATGTTTTCTAGGGTTCAGATAATTGAACTCCATCACTCAGATGTTCCTAATGATTCCCTATTGTGTTTTAAATATATTCCAAACAAGAAGTTTTCAAATATTTTCCTGAATGCAGTACTTTTTTCCTTTATTTTATAACTTTTTCACTTTCTTTTTATTATACTTTTTCTTTCGTTATACAACCTCAATATGTGTATATGTATTTATAAATTTTATGTATGCACTATTTTACTAATATTTACCTTATAAAACATTCACAAAGAATAGAGAATAACTCAGTGACATAAACTAAAATTACCATTGTTATTATATTTATTTAAATGCAGATAGTAAATACAGATACATTTGATCACCTTAAAAGGTGTTTAATAATGATATTTTAGAGAGAGCACTGATTATGTTTTAATATTTTTTAAGATCTTGGTGTACAATTTTATGATACAGTTATTTGAAATCCAGCTTCAAAGTTAAGCTTATTTTGATGCTTGGATGTTCAGTTTTAATGGCTATTCAGAGCAGGAAAAAAAGATAATTAAAAAGTACATGCTAGAAATGAAAGAAGTAGCTCACAGTTTGTTCTCACTATGTATTGCTACCTTTTTTTTTAAGTGTGGATTGGAAACCAATTATGAAAAAAAGAATTGGCAATCGCACAAATAAGTGTTAACCTTCCTTAATACCAATCATTTGTGTTTGTTAACTATCAGAAAATGTGGGGATTTTAAAATACTTTTTCAACAAATGATTTTAAAACCCATTGCATTTCTTTGTCTAGAAGGTTTTTAAACAGATTAAAATATTCTGTTTTAAAGTTTGTTAAATAAGCAGACATGATAACTTTTCAAAGTGACATTATTTTGTATAGCATAATCATATGATAATTTCCAAATATTTATCTTCAAAGAGCTGTTTCCACATTATAATTTTCTCAAAGAAACAGGTATTGTTTATTTTGCTTTAAATATATAATACCCAGCATATTGCTGACAACTAGTGTTTATTTTCTTGCTATCTAATAAGTATTGTATTACTGAAAAACACTTGCAATCCTCTATTTTTAAGAAAGGATCAAATCTTCACATTCTGCAGCTTTTTAACTAATTTTCCATGAGGTAAACAGTAAATATCTGTGTCATGGTCAAAAATAATGTCATATTCTCTGTCTCAGTACAAAATAAATATTCTTCAAAATATAAAGGTCTTATTAGTATACAGTGTACTATATCAGTAATATCTTGAGGCAGTCTGTCTAATTCTGGCTTACTTGTAATGAATAAATGTTTTTCACATGTACTGCCATCTCCCTAACCTTATTCTTTAAAATTATAATTCCAATCAGAGAAATTACTTCTCAATTTTTAATATTTTTTATTTAAAAAATATACATTTTTTGAATTAAACAAATCACTCTACATTGAGGCTATGTCTTCATTGGTACATTTTTCCTTGAGGGTTCACAATAGTAATTCTTAAACTATTTTATTATTAATTTAAGAGAAACAGGGAATATTATGAACTGAGTATGTAAAGAAATCTCCATAGTTGGGTTATATTATTATTAGATCTTTTGCTACTTAATTTGTTCTAATAATTTTTCCCAAACCTTCCACAACTATTTCTTTGTTTCTTCCAACAACATTTGCTGACAAAGGAATGTAGTTTGATTTGTCACTATATTGATTCCACATATTACTTTAGTAATTTTTTCATGGCCAAAAATAAAAAACATTTCCCCATCTGTCATGTGATTTTTCTTATTGAGAAAGAAAATTCAAAAGAAGATTCCAGATGGTTATTATTGAAATTAGTGAAAACTTATAAAGTACTAGAAAACTTATTTTCTGAAAATTACAGAGGTTTGTGATAGTGTCATAATACCACTGGCTTTGATTCAAAGCACGTTCTATATTTAGGGTAAGGTTTGTTATTAGCAATAATAGATGCAGAAACAGATTTCAAATAGCTTTCCTGATAATGTCAAGCATTTTTTACTAACTTCAAGTCAGATCTGATTTAATTTGATGATCACTGTTCTCACCTTGTTATGAAAACTGATGAAAAGCTTGTAACAATATGAAAAGTGTCAACTTTCTTGTGAGTGCATGTGTGTATTTCTTACATTACTAGTTTGATCTTTAACAAATGATTTTTTTTGCAGAATTTTTTTCTACTACTTAGCTATTATAGGAAAGCTGGTTTAGTTAAAACTAGGTGATCTATTGTAACTACAAACCATAAATCTGCATAACTGAACAATAAACTTCAACGTAAAGGTGAGCAAGTGAAGTGGTTGCCTCACTGTAACTTCTCTTTATAGTTGGTTGCCTCATTATAACTTCCAGCCTTCTCCCAGGATTCCTCACAGACCATGTGACCAACTGACATGACAAGTAAGATAATAGTATTGTCCATCTATTGATTAAATATTAGTGCAGTTTAATTTATCCTGTATTTTGGATTTAAAAATACAACTAAAATCCTAGTGTCTTCTCATTGTATTCCACTGAAGCACTTTGCATAGATAGCTTCCAGGGTATGTGCACGCCACAGTGGAGACTCCTGTCTAAATGGCTTAGTTGGCTTTCTCAGCCTTCTGGAATCTGGCTCCAGCACAACTTTCAAGCAACCGCTAACATTCCCCATGGGGAGAAATTAAAGAAAAACAGCCAAATATGCCTTTGTGTGATTCCTGAACAAAGCTTGTGCTTTCTCCTTTCTGAACCTGTTCTCAGTTTTTCTACGTGCACTGATGCTGCACCTTCACATCAACTGTGTCAGAAAAAATCCCACCTGAACCTCCAGACCACTTTGCTAGCATGACTTCCATGAGTCTGCCCTTCTGTTCCCTAGTGGTAGTCAGTTTTCCTGATGCAGAATTTTCTGCAATGATTAATTTATTAATTAGTTTTTATTTACAGTCAAAACAATACTCTTAATTTACCTCTTACTATTCTGGCTGCTATGTTAAGTACTTCCTTATACAATTATTGATAAGGTTAATATTATGATAGCTTTAGTAAAGATGGGGGAACTGAATTTCTGTGCCCAAGATCACATAGCTGGAAGGCAGAAGTACTAGAATTATAGTCCATCTCTGATTACAAAGACTGTGCCCTCACCCACTGCACAAGATGTTTTTTCCTATGACACTTTTAGAATACTGCCTTTTCATTATTATAATTATCCATCTCTCTTAGCAACCCTCACTGCTATACCAAACACTTGGTATAATATTTTACTCTATTTATATATGTGTATTATTTAATCATTCATCTAGCTGTCATTTGTGTCGTTCATATTATTATAGTACATTGTTTACATTTCTTTGTTGCCACATCATTTTATTACTTCATTCATTCCTATCTTTCAAAATGTTTGTTGAATAGCATTAAAATTAATCCTGAAGTATAACAATTTGAAAATTACATACACATTTTTAAATTTTTAGTTTAATATTTTAAAAGTCATATTGCTATAGAATTTTATCTTTTTACTTATATACACAAACATAATACTGTTTAAATCTTTATTTGATATAGTACACGAAAATACTCTCCTCATAGAAACCAAACTTGGAACATTCTTTAGCAGGTACTTTCATTTCTGGTTAAAATGATATGAGGGTTAGTATTCAAGTTACATATAGCCAATAAGTGGCTGCCTAATCAGAAACGATGAAAAATAATAATGTTTTCTGTAGTGAGGAGGACTCCCATATTATAGTGCTTAGATGAGAGCATCCGATCTTTCACTCCAGGTCCAGTGAATTTTATTGGCTTAATTTTGTTTGGAGTGTTTCAAACACTCAAATCAGTAATCTGCATTGATGTAAACTTTATGTAAATTATTGAAGATTTGCATTCATTGTTTAATTTTAGCCCGTCAAAATAAATGGAAAATTAAACAAAAACTTAACACTGCATCCTTTCTTTGCACAGTTTTATATGTCATCTAGAATTCAGTTCTTTAACAATATTCAAAAAATATTCTGTTTGCCTTCAATATGGAAGGCTTTTGTGAAAAGAGCAAAACCAAATTTGGCAGTGCAGATATGTCTTGGCACATTCTCCACTACTAGTGAAGGCCTCAAGATACACCACCATGGGAAGAGATCCAAATGGGGCTCCGATCGTCACTGCCTCTCACTGACCAGTCTGCAGCTCAATAAATGGCAGGGGGTTATTGGAAGGGAAAGGAAAAAAAGCCTGGAGAGTAAACACTTTGCCAACTTGCCACCTTATAATATGCAAAAGTTATTTAGGGGAAAAAAAATCATTGCAGCATCACCACCGTAGGTAAACAATGATGAAATCCTGTGAGGAGTGTGGAGGGAGGAGACCAGGCAGTGAGTGAGAGGAGGAATAAGTGGGTAAGACGTGGTGCTGAGTGAAGAAGAAAAGCATGAACACAAGGAAAAGGCACATAAGGGAGATTGCAGGGCTGGTATTTTGATATTTATGTGTATTAATCTTCTGTCTAATGTCACTTAATTTCCCTTGTTACATTATATAAGTCTGGTCCTAATCTGTTTTGTATAATATCAGTAGAACCTTCAGAATCCATTATATAAAACCGTAACTTTTTAAATGGTCCTCTGAATTGTTACATATAACCATGGTCACATTTCTTTCATATATGCATATTTTATGACATTGTTACATATTTTAATATATGTAGACACAAAATAAAGAATACACATGGCCAGGCACGGTGGCTCACGCCTGTAATCCCAGGATTTTGGGAGGCCAAGGTGGGCGGATCACGAGGTCAGGAGTTCGAGATCAGCCTAACCAACATGGTGAAACCCGTCTCTACTAAAAATACAAAAATTAGCCAGGCGTGGTGGCACATGCCTGTAATCCCAGCTACTCGGGAGGCTGAGGCAGGAGAATGGCTTGAACCCAGGAGGCGGAGGTGGCAGTGAGCCAAGATCAAGCCACTGCACTTCAGCCTGGGTGACAGAGCGTGACTCCATCTAAAAAAAAATAGTAAGAAGAAAAATAAGAATACACATGACATTATCAAAGTTTGATTGTGAAAGATCATTTTCTTGACCTTTTATTCACAAGGAGCTTAAGTACCCCACCCCCATCATGATGGTGTTTACTGTAACTCAGTAAAGGGAGGATGGGGCTAGGGTTAAAAAAAGATAAACAAGGAAGGACATAGAAATTATACTGAATTCCAAAAAATGTGCTCTGGCATTTTCTGGGATGTAATGAAATGGAAATGTCTCTCCACTATAACCATCCAGAAAGCATTTATTAGAAGGCAGCTTCACCATTGCTTGCCACTTCAGTATGAGAAAGGAGCTGAAATGAGTGAAGTGCTCATCAACCGTCCTGCTATAGTCTCACAACTGCAGATAAGAAATTCTTTACTGGAAAGACATTCAAATTGGTACAGTATAGTTAATTCTAGGTGCACACTGAAGAGTAGGCATTAGTTTTTGCACTAAAGTTGTTAAGAATATATCACACTGTCTTTTTTAATTGAGTAACATTGTAAATTCAGCAAAATCATTTTACCCTGTAATATGCTCAGGATAGATCATTGACCATGCATAATAAAGGTATATATTTAGATGAAAATGAATGTAAAATGAGCATCAAGCCAACAATATTTATATTTGATAACTCTAACTAGAAAAAGGAGAAGAAAAGAAGGAGGGAGGGAAGGATGGGGAGAGGGAGGGAGGAAAGGAAGGAAGGAAGAAGGGAGGAAGGAAGGAAGAAGGAAGGAAGGATGAAGGAAGGAAGAAGGAAGGAGGAAGGAAGGAAGGAAGGAGTATGTTTGTTGTGCAACCGTACATCTGTTTACTTGGGCCATAGTTAGATCAGAAGAGCTCATGCCAACACACACTGAAAATATTGAGACAGTACAAGATACAGACTTAGTGGAATTAAGGTGGCCTCACAGGCTAGAATGAGCTATAGCATGCTCTTAGGCAGCTGTTCCCCTAACCCCTCCTTTCTGTAGGCTGTGAGACTATTGTGACACTCTCCTTTAAACAGGACAACTAACTGAATCAGTTTTATTTTGCTCATATATATTTTTAATTAGCAAAAAAGTCTTTATGCAACAAGTCTCTGTATTTAATGTTTATTTAAGGCCTCTCTGATTCTTGAATCGAAATTGTTGTCATGGCATCATCATAGCCCAAGAAAGGCAACAAGTTCAAGGTTGTGGTGTGTTGCTAAGGGTCCCAGATCTCTGGAAAGCCCATGCTCCCGCTCACAAAAGCTATTTATTGTTTAAGGAAGCTGCTTTTCAAGATAAAACAAGATTTCAAAATCAGAAGGTATTTGTAAGTGACATTAGTGAAACACCTTTGAGATGAGATGCTGAAGATAAATGTGATTAACAACTCTATAGAAATAACAGCTGGATATTTCTCTTTAACTGAACTGATGAGTCAGACCAATTATTGTATAACTTTTTCAAAGTACATAATTTCTAAACATTCATTCCAAGTGATGTAGAGTAATGATATTAACAATAATACCAAGTATATATAGTGTTTCATAACTTTCAAAATGTCTCTTAAAAGCAGTGCCTTGTTTGAATCATTTGACAAGAATGATAACAAAATTATTTGTGGTACATGGCATATATGTTATTATGACATGTTATTTGCTTTTTTTTTGTTTAGTAAATTCTCCAACATCCCTTACAACTTGCAGCCAGGCACAAAGCCCGTTGTCTGATGCTTTCTTGAACTTTACCTGACCTCATAATCCAAAAGTATAACTTATGTTAATAGAAAATTTATCTTTAAATATCTTCATCACAATTTATAAACTTTATCCTAAAGCAAATTTATTGAGAAAAGTAATCATATTTTTGAGGGAAAATGACATTGAAATGTGAAAAGGTAGAGTATTTATGAAAGAAGATCAAATATCATTGAGAATTGACATTTAATTAAATTTAGTTTAAATGGAAACTAACCTTACCAACGCATATCAACAATATTTTTCTCAAACTTTTAAAAAATACTGAGATATGGTTGAAAAAATTTTCCAAAATTATTTTTCAGTTCCTAATAGTTATTTGGTAGTAATGGAGAGGCCATGTTTTTAGTTTAACCATGTTAAGTTTTCCTGTATCTTTATCTCCCTGCTTAGGAAAAGGAAGATGACAAATCAGACACCTCAAGTTCTCAGCAGCCTAAAAGCCCCCAAGGTCTGAGCGACACGGGATATTCTTCCGATGGAATATCAAGCTCACTTGGTGAAATTCCAAGTCTTATTCCAACTGATGAAAAGGATATTCTCAAGGGACTCAAAAAGGACTCTTTTTCACAAGAAAGCAGCCCTTCCAGCCCCTCAGATTTGGCTAAGTTAGAAAGTACAGTCCTATCTATTTTGGAAGCTCAAGCAAGTACACTTGCTGATGAAAAGTCAGAAAAGAAAACACAACCCCATGAAGTTTCTCCTGAACAGCCTAAAGACCAAGAGAAAACTCAGAGTTTATCTGAAACCTTGGAAATTACTATTTCAGAAGAGGAGATCAAAGAGAGTCAAGAAGAAAGGAAAGACACTTTTAAAAAAGATAGCCAACAAGATATTCCTTCCAGCAAGGACCATAAAGAGAAGTCTGAGTTTGTTGATGACATAACTACTAGAAGAGAGCCTTATGATTCAGTTGAAGAGAGTAGTGAAAGTGAAAACTCACCTGTTCCACAAAGAAAACGAAGAACTAGTGTTGGCTCATCAAGCAGTGATGAGTATAAACAGGAAGACAGCCAAGGATCAGGGGAAGAGGAGGACTTCATTCGAAAACAAATCATAGAAATGAGTGCTGATGAAGATGCTTCAGGTTCTGAAGATGATGAGTTCATCAGAAACCAGCTCAAAGAGATTAGTAGCAGTACTGAGAGCCAGAAGAAGGAAGAAACAAAGGGAAAAGGCAAAATAACAGCAGGGAAACACAGACGACTGACTCGAAAAAGTAGCACAAGCATTGATGAAGATGCAGGAAGACGTCACTCATGGCATGATGAAGACGATGAAGCATTTGATGAAAGTCCTGAACTTAAATACAGAGAAACTAAAAGTCAGGAAAGTGAAGAACTTGTAGTTACTGGAGGAGGAGGGCTACGCCGATTTAAAACAATTGAGCTCAACAGTACAATAGCAGATAAATATTCTGCAGAGTCATCACAGAAAAAAACAAGTTTGTATTTTGACGAAGAGCCAGAATTGGAAATGGAAAGCCTGACAGACTCACCTGAAGATAGGTCAAGGGGAGAGGGATCTTCGAGTCTGCATGCTTCCAGCTTCACTCCTGGTACATCCCCTACATCAGTATCATCACTTGATGAGGACAGTGACAGTAGCCCGAGTCACAAAAAAGGAGAGAGCAAACAGCAACGCAAAGCTCGGCACAGACCACATGGCCCTCTTTTGCCTACTATTGAAGATTCTTCAGAGGAAGAAGAATTGAGAGAGGAAGAAGAATTATTAAAGGAGCAAGAAAAGCAGAGGGAAATAGAACAGCAACAAAGAAAGAGTTCTAGTAAAAAATCAAAGAAAGACAAAGATGAACTTCGAGCTCAGAGAAGAAGGGAAAGGCCAAAGACACCACCTAGTAATCTCTCTCCCATTGAAGATGCATCTCCGACAGAAGAGTTACGTCAGGCTGCAGAAATGGAGGAGCTCCATAGATCTTCTTGTTCTGAATATTCACCTAGCATAGAGTCAGACCCAGAAGGTTTTGAAATAAGCCCGGAAAAAATAATAGAAGTACAAAAAGTTTATAAATTGCCCACAGCTGTTTCATTATACTCACCAACAGATGAGCAATCTATTATGCAGAAAGAAGGTAGCCAAAAGGCGTTAAAAAGTGCTGAGGAGATGTATGAAGAAATGATGCATAAAACACACAAATACAAAGCTTTTCCAGCTGCAAATGAACGAGATGAAGTGTTTGAAAAAGAGCCTTTGTATGGTGGGATGCTAATAGAGGATTATATTTATGAATCTTTAGTAGAAGACACGTACAATGGATCGGTAGATGGCAGTCTGCTAACAAGGCAAGAAGAAGAAAATGGATTTATGCAGCAGAAAGGAAGAGAGCAAAAGATAAGACTTTCAGAACAGATTTATGAAGATCCTATGCAGAAAATTACAGACCTCCAGAAAGAGTTTTATGAGTTAGAAAGCTTACATTCTGTTGTGCCTCAGGAAGATATTGTTTCAAGCTCTTTTATCATCCCAGAAAGCCATGAGATAGTGGACCTGGGTACTATGGTAACTTCTACAGAAGAAGAAAGGAAACTACTAGATGCTGATGCTGCCTATGAAGAACTTATGAAGAGGCAACAGATGCAATTAACACCTGGATCTAGCCCAACCCAGGCCCCCATTGGTGAGGATATGACAGAGTCCACCATGGACTTTGACAGAATGCCAGATGCCTCTTTGACATCAAGTGTTCTCTCAGGAGCGTCTCTTACAGATTCGACCAGCAGTGCAACACTCTCTATCCCAGATGTTAAAATAACCCAACATTTTTCAACAGAAGAAATTGAGGATGAATATGTAACCGATTATACAAGAGAAATTCAAGAGATAATTGCCCATGAATCGCTGATTTTGACCTACTCGGAGCCTTCAGAAAGTGCTACATCTGTCCCACCCTCTGACACACCTTCTCTCACATCATCTGTTTCTTCGGTCTGTACCACAGATAGCTCTTCACCCATTACTACCCTGGATAGCATAACCACAGTTTATACAGAGCCAGTGGACATGATAACTAAATTTGAAGATTCTGAGGAAATTTCTTCATCAACTTATTTTCCAGGCAGCATTATAGACTATCCAGAAGAAATAAGTGTATCTTTAGATCGGACTGCCCCACCAGATGGTAGAGCTAGTGCTGATCATATTGTTATTTCCTTATCTGATATGGCATCTTCTATCATAGAATCTGTAGTACCTAAACCTGAAGGGCCAGTTGCTGACACTGTTTCTACTGACTTACTTATATCTGAAAAGGACCCAGTGAAGAAAGCCAAGAAGGAAACTGGGAATGGAATCATTCTGGAAGTTTTGGAAGCTTACAGAGATAAAAAGGAGTTGGAGGCCGAACGAACAAAAAGTAGCTTATCCGAAACCGTGTTTGATCACCCACCTTCTTCTGTAATAGCCCTTCCAATGAAAGAGCAGCTTTCAACTACATACTTTACATCTGGAGAGACCTTTGGTCAGGAAAAACCTGCATCTCAGTTACCATCTGGCAGTCCTTCTGTTTCCTCTCTTCCAGCTAAACCTCGCCCATTCTTTAGAAGTTCTTCTTTGGATATATCAGCTCAACCTCCTCCCCCTCCTCCCCCTCCCCCTCCTCCTCCTCCTCCACCACCACCCCCTCCTCCCCCACCACTTCCTCCACCAACTTCACCTAAACCAACTATTCTTCCTAAAAAAAAGTTAACAGTTGCATCTCCAGTGACTACAGCTACACCTCTGTTTGATGCTGTTACTACTCTAGAGACCACAGCTGTTCTGAGAAGTAATGGATTACCTGTTACAAGAATATGTACTACTGCACCTCCTCCTGTTCCTCCTAAGCCATCTTCAATTCCATCTGGACTTGTATTTACCCACAGGCCTGAGCCAAGCAAACCTCCAATCGCCCCCAAACCAGTGATTCCTCAGCTTCCAACAACTACACAAAAACCAACAGATATACACCCCAAACCAACAGGCCTATCTTTAACTTCAAGTATGACCTTAAATTTAGTGACTTCAGCAGATTATAAATTGCCTTCCCCTACCTCCCCACTTTCCCCACACTCCAACAAGTCTTCACCAAGATTTTCCAAATCCCTCACAGAAACTTATGTAGTTATTACATTGCCATCTGAACCAGGGACTCCAACAGATTCTTCTGCTAGTCAAGCAATTACCAGTTGGCCCTTGGGATCACCCTCCAAAGATCTGGTTTCTGTTGAACCTGTGTTTTCTGTAGTTCCTCCTGTGACAGCTGTAGAAATTCCAATTTCTTCAGAACAGACCTTCTACATCTCTGGAGCTTTACAGACATTTTCTGCTACCCCTGTCACAGCACCCTCTTCATTTCAAGCAGCTCCCACATCAGTTACACAGTTTCTCACTACTGAAGTTTCCAAGACTGAGGTTTCAGCAACCAGAAGTACAGCTCCTAGTGTTGGTCTCAGCAGCATTTCCATAACAATTCCTCCAGAGCCTCTTGCTCTAGATAACATACATTTAGAGAAGCCTCAGTATAAAGAAGATGGAAAATTGCAACTTGTTGGTGATGTAATTGATTTGCGTACAGTACCAAAGGTAGAAGTTAAAACAACTGATAAATGTATTGATCTTTCTGCTTCTACAATGGATGTGAAAAGGCAGATCACAGCAAATGAAGTTTATGGGAAACAAATTAGTGCTGTCCAACCCTCTATTATAAATCTTAGTGTGACATCATCAATAGTGACTCCTGTATCTCTGGCCACTGAGACAGTGACCTTTGTCACATGCACAGCTAGTGCAAGTTACACTACAGGCACAGAAAGCCTAGTGGGTGCAGAACATGCAATGACAACACCACTCCAACTTACAACATCAAAGCATGCTGAGCCCCCATACAGGATACCAAGTGACCAGGTCTTTCCTATAGCTAGGGAAGAAGCACCAATAAACTTATCTCTAGGTACTCCAGCACATGCAGTGACATTGGCTATTACAAAACCTGTCACTGTGCCTCCTGTTGGTGTCACAAATGGATGGACTGATAGCACCGTATCCCAGGGAATCACTGATGGGGAAGTAGTGGATCTCAGTACAACCAAGTCTCACAGAACAGTCGTAACAATGGATGAGTCTACTTCAAGTGTGATGACCAAAATAATAGAAGATGAAAAACCCGTTGATTTAACCGCAGGGAGAAGAGCTGTGTGCTGTGATGTGGTTTATAAATTACCATTTGGAAGGAGCTGCACAGCACAGCAGCCTGCAACTACTCTTCCTGAGGATCGTTTTGGTTATAGGGATGACCACTATCAGTATGATCGATCAGGGCCATATGGTTATAGAGGGATTGGGGGAATGAAGCCTTCCATGTCTGACACAAATTTAGCAGAAGCTGGACATTTTTTCTATAAAAGTAAGAATGCTTTTGATTATTCTGAAGGAACTGACACAGCAGTAGATCTGACTTCAGGGAGAGTTACTACAGGTCAGTATGATGTGGCAGCAGACCTTTCCTTGAAATATCATTATGGTGTTCCTCATCTCATTTCAGGATGAAAATGTGGCTTCTTTTCCAGTTTTGTTACTTTTTCTCTTTCTTTGGATGTTATAGCAGCATATTTTGGAGTACAAGTGCGCTTTTGTTCCTTCATTTTAAAAAAAATTTGTTCTGCTCAAAATCACTGCATGCGCCTGCATGTTCAACATTGCTTTCATTCCGCATATAATTAGGTTACCCTGTGGATTTGCATGCAGTCTCATTCATTATGTTCATCAAGATGAGAGGGTTTTCAAACTCAAAAAGCATCATTCATTCTGGGAACTGGACTATAACTCTGCCCTGTATTTCAGGTGAGGTAATGGATTATTCAAGCAAGACTACAGGTCCATATCCAGAAACACGACAAGTCATTTCAGGAGCTGGGATTAGTACCCCACAGTATTCCACAGCAAGAATGACACCACCACCAGGACCCCAGTATTGTGTGGGGAGTGTTTTGAGGTCATCTAATGGTGTTGTCTATTCTTCAGTAGCAACTCCAACACCCTCTACATTTGCTATCACCACACAACCTGGCTCCATTTTCAGCACCACAGTGAGGGATTTGTCTGGTATTCATACGGCTGATGCAGTGACTTCATTACCTGCCATGCACCATAGCCAGCCAATGCCTAGATCATATTTTATAACAACAGGTGCATCTGAAACGGACATTGCAGTAACTGGTATTGATATCAGTGCCAGTTTGCAAACTATTACTATGGAGTCTCTTACTGCTGAGACGATAGACTCTGTTCCCACTTTAACCACAGCATCCGAAGTGTTTCCTGAAGTGGTGGGAGATGAAAGTGCTCTTTTAATTGTCCCTGAAGAAGATAAACAACAGCAGCAGCTAGACTTGGAGCGTGAGCTCCTGGAACTGGAGAAAATTAAGCAACAGCGCTTTGCTGAGGAATTGGAGTGGGAACGTCAGGAAATTCAAAGGTTCCGAGAACAAGAAAAGATCATGGTTCAGAAAAAGTTGGAGGAGCTGCAGTCTATGAAGCAACACCTTCTCTTTCAGCAAGAAGAAGAGCGGCAAGCCCAGTTCATGATGAGGCAGGAGACGTTAGCTCAGCAACAGTTACAGCTTGAGCAGATCCAACAGCTGCAACAACAGCTTCACCAGCAGCTGGAGGAGCAAAAGATTCGGCAGATCTACCAGTATAACTATGACCCTTCTGGAACTGCTTCTCCACAAACCACTACAGAGCAGGCAATTTTGGAAGGTCAGTATGCTGCTCTGGAAGGCAGTCAATTTTGGGCAACTGAAGATGCAACCACCACAGCTTCAGCTGTTGTGGCAATTGAAATACCACAAAGCCAAGGATGGTACACCGTTCAGTCTGATGGTGTTACTCAGTACATTGCCCCACCTGGTATCCTGAGCACTGTTTCAGAAATACCTCTAACAGATGTTGTTGTGAAAGAGGAAAAACAACCCAAAAAGAGAAGTTCTGGAGCTAAAGTCCGAGGACAGTATGATGACATGGGAGAAAATATGACAGATGATCCCCGAAGTTTTAAAAAGATAGTGGACAGTGGTGTACAAACGGATGACGAAGATGCCACAGATCGGAGCTATGTGAGTAGGAGAAGGAGAACTAAAAAGAGTGTGGATACAAGCGTCCAAACTGATGATGAAGATCAGGATGAGTGGGATATGCCTACTAGATCAAGGAGGAAAGCTCGTGTAGGGAAATATGGTGACAGCATGACAGAGGCTGACAAGACCAAACCCCTTTCCAAAGTCTCCAGCATAGCAGTTCAAACGGTAGCAGAGATATCTGTGCAAACTGAACCAGTTGGAACCATAAGAACACCCTCCATACGGGCACGAGTGGATGCCAAGGTAGAAATAATTAAACACATTTCAGCACCTGAAAAGACTTACAAAGGGGGCAGTTTAGGATGTCAAACAGAAGCAGATTCAGACACACAAAGTCCTCAATATCTGAGTGCCACATCTCCACCCAAAGACAAGAAACGCCCAACACCTTTAGAGATTGGTTATTCATCTCACCTCCGGGCAGATTCCACAGTACAGCTGGCTCCTTCCCCACCCAAATCCCCCAAAGTCCTTTACTCACCCATCTCACCACTTTCACCAGGCAAAGCCTTAGAATCAGCCTTTGTACCTTATGAAAAACCCCTCCCTGATGATATAAGTCCACAGAAAGTACTGCATCCAGATATGGCTAAAGTTCCCCCAGCAAGTCCTAAGACAGCCAAGATGATGCAGCGTTCTATGTCTGACCCCAAGCCTCTGAGTCCAACAGCAGACGAAAGTTCCAGGGCTCCTTTTCAGTATACCGAGGGCTATACGGTAAGAGTGATTCTTTTCAGTTGGAAGGCAATGGATGAGTTATTAATCATGTGTTTTCAGACTTTTAGGAGGCGATCAGGCTCCTGGTACCTTAGAAACCTAATACTAGATTAGGGTGAAGATTATTGCCTTAGAAATTTACACTATATATGTGTATATGTGTGTGTGCGTGTGTGTGTGCACACGTGTGTGTGTGCGCTTGTGTGTGTGTGTGTGTGTAGGAAACCATACATTCACTTAAAAATACCAAAGAAAGAAAACACATTATGTGAAGCAAAATGAGTTTATTATTTTAAGACAATGAAATTGAAAGTCTTATTCTTATATCGAAATCTCCCAAATATCAACTGTAGCTGTGATTTCAGTAAACATAATTAATATTCATTTTCAGGCATGATAGGAAACATTAAACAGATAATGCAAAAGGTGACTATGAATTTAGACCATGGATGTTTAGTGGGAAAGCCCTTAGAAATTATCTGGTCAGTATCCTCTTCTTCCAGCCAGAATGTTTTCATTAAAAGGCTTGGAACACTTACTGGTCAAAAGAGAACATTTCTGAGGCAGGCAGATAAAAGTGTGATATAATCATCATAGTCCATCCATGCTTATTTTATTTCTGGCAACTTTATTAATCTAAACTCAGGTAAACCTTAATCCTAGTGCTCACAGAAGCAAAAATAATTTTTCATGTTTCTTTTAATAATATAAATTAATTATTTTCAAATATATAGGTATGCTTCAAGGGGAGAAGAACATATACAGATGTATCTGTGAAGATCTCTATAACAGAGAATAAGAAATGTGCATAATCAGCTCTAAAGCAGATATTTCCTACTTAAGAAAATCTAATATACATAACTATTCAGAAAGTGATTGATAGATATAATAGCTCAATTTAGAACAAGACTTCTGTTCAAATTAGAAGTTCCCCTAATGCATGATTACTGAGCTCTAGGTTTTGAACCCTGAAGTTTCTAAGTAGGTTTTTCTGAGATGGTGTTACATTTCCATTGACCCATATGTGTTAAACACTGGCTGTGGGCTGAAAAATATGTCATGATATATGACTGTAAGTCTACTTGTAGGTATATAGACATCAATGGTCATAATAGTAAATTATAAATTTATTTATGTTTTCTAGTTTTCTAGTAGAATTGCGTTATTACGTTTTTTTTTTTCTCAAAGTAGTATAAGCTAAAACTAAAACTGTCTTCATGTCAAGGAGGGAGGTAATAGCTGTAGAATCAGGAAACCTCTGTTGTATTGAGATTTCATCCAGTATACAGAGAATTATTTTATGCATAGTGTTGTTTCCAGAATTTAATCTATTAATATAGTTGAAAAGTGATTTTTAAGTTAGTTATATAATGTGTAGGTATATATTTTTATAGGTTTGGCCTAGAAATTCACTTAAAGAGTTATGTGAACAACTTTGAAATATGATTTTTGGCAGTATTTTCAAAGTAATAGTGAAGACTTCTGTTATTAGAAAGAACAGGCTTTCCAGGTGGAATATTGACTATTTACATAATATGTATCCCTGTACCCTTAATTCAAATGAGCTCAGCTAAAAAAGAGTCTCAAGTTATCAATATTTTTTTCCTCACAAAGTATTCACTTTGGATTTGGAAATGTATCCACTTGGAAATTGATACAATGGGTTGTAAAGGTTGTATTACTGATTGTGTCAGAAATATTGATAAGCTAATCATAAAGGAAGTTGAGTAGAATTACCAAATAATACCCAGAATCTGAAAAACCCTAGGTGTTTTGAGCCTCAAAGCACAATTCATTGGTTCTTTTTTCCAGTTGGTCAAGTTAAATGCATTCTTTAATATGGAATAGTTGTATACAGATTCAAAGGTATTGTCTTATTACATGCACAGGTAGATCATTTTATACACAGGCAGTGTTGTTAACACTCTAGAGACTATGAGTCTAAGATGTGAATTTTATAATTTCTAGGCAAATGTCTAGACATACTTTGAGTCTATTTTAAAGTAAATAAATTAATTTCTTAATTATGAGTGTGAATTACTAAGTATTAACTATACTAAAAAAATAATTTTCTTAGGGATATTCATAGTGATGTGAATTTAAGAAGGCTAGCTCAGTAGTTTACAGGTTGTTAATTTTCACAGACCAGTAAGATTTAAAAAACTTACACCACTCAGTAGGCACTGAAACAACACAGTGACACACATAATACACTGTAAAAGATAAGTTTTATACTCTGTCAGATTCTGAATCAATCTGTTCTCCTGAAAGTGTCAGGAGAGGTTGCAAAGAAGAGGTCTGAGTCATGAAGATTGAGACCTCTGCTGGACCATGGAGAGAAAAATGGAGGTCATTGTAACTAGAGGGAATAAATGGACAAAGTTTCAGATTGATGAACAGACATAAAGCAAAGAGGGGGAGAAAAGGGTTTACTGTAAATACAATCAGAAAGGCAAGTGAGGGCCAGATCACTGGAGATCTAATCTGCTGCCTTACAAAGTTTGGATTTACTTCCTGTGGCTATGAGGATCATAGACCAGAGCCACCATCATCTTTTATTTACAATGTGCACAGCCCTTAGGCTCCTTCTACACTTGCCCTTACTGCCATCAGTTCTCTAAACAGCTCCTAAGTGATTTTCTAAAATGTACATCAGATTATGTTACTTGCAGCACAGTTTAAACTCTATTAGGATCTCATCAAATTCAAAATATATTAGAAATTTCTTAACAAGGCTATATGTGATGTGATCTCTGCTTGTTTCATGACCTCATTGATCACTCTCCAGACTTTCTCCCCTCCTCACTCTGCTCCGACCACAGGCCATGCTGTTCTTTGGATGGGCCAACCTTGCCCCCACCCAGGGCACGAGTCTGTGCCTCTATCTCCCCAGATATACGTATGCTGACTCCTACATACAGATTTCTGCTCAAATTTTACCTCCACAGAGAGACTTTTCTTAATTTGTTCTCTAAAGAAGTCTGCTTATTACTATAAATCTCTATTTCTGCCTCTAAATTTGTATATATTACTTATTAAATACATTATATTGTGTATTTAATTGAATATTATCTTTCTTCTCCAGTAGAATATAAGCTCTACAAGAGCAGGAATTTTGCTTCTCTTGCCACTATAGTCCTAAATGCCTGACTAGTGCCTGGCATGAAGTAGGTGCTCAACATTGATTGAATAAATTTATTAAAGGGAAGATTATAATCATAGAAGGAATGGGAAAAGATTTATATTGAAAAGACTCTGGCTGCTTATCTTTTCATTGCTGTACTTGGACAATGAAATCTTAGCAAGTCTTGTTGATAATCTAAGTTAATATGTCCCTTATTTAAAGTATCACTTTCACTTTGTTTATTTTTATATAGGCATCTGAAACACTGAATACAGGTTGAATGGTGTTTAGCTACTAGCAAGCCCTTACAGATAAGACAAGTCCCCGAGTAGTCTAGTGATTTTATGATGGCTCCTTACTAAACCCGTGCCCTGACTCTATATTTCATAGTTCTTATCCTTTTATTAGTTTCTGCTGAGACATATTAAACATTTCCTAATTATTTATTCTTAATTCAGTGTCATGCTTGATTTTTTTAAATCTTGGCATTTCCTCTTCTGTCCTTAAAATTCCAGTTTAAATCTCCATCAATTAGGTTTATACGTTTTTAAAATTCAATTCTTGCTTGTTTTCACTCATTACCTTATTCATTACTCTTTTCCAGACGTGGTGATAAACTGTAAAGGTACAGGATGAATCAGAGAGGCAGGTTTCATGCTTGACTTCCTACCACTAGGATCATTTTGTTGTTATTGCTCATGCATTGTATCAGTTTGCTAGCGCTCTCATAACAGTACCACAAACTGGGTGGCTTCAACAACAGAAATGTATTCCTTCTGTATGTGTCTACCTCTGTTCCCAAATTTCCCTTTTATAAGGATACTACCATATTGATTTAGGCCTACTCTAATGACCTCATTTTAACTTGATTACCTCTGTAAAGACCCTATGTTCAAATAGGTTCACATTTTGAGATATCAAGGGTTAAGACTCCAATATATCATTTTTTTGGAGGAGACAAAATTCGACCCATAAAATATATCCAAGCACTATATTGTACTTTTTGTTTGCTCACAGCCAAATATGGAATGATATTTTATTTGTTTTGGGTATTTTTCAAGACCCTGTCAGTCTGATATCAAATTTTATTTGTTGACATTTACGTAACCGGACAGTTTTATCTTGCAGCCTACTTACTCTTACAAATTTAATTGTTTAGCTCTGAGTAAAAATGGAAAAACATTACCGCCTGTTTCCTTAAATCTTTCACTTTACTCCACAGAAAAAAAAAATCCCAAGAGACACAAACACAGTCAGAATTTATTTCTTCTGGGTTTAAGCTTGCTCCCTAGGTATGACTTAGTAATACTGTATTTTCATCATGATTTAGCAAAAGCACAGGAAGAAGTGTACATTTTAATGAAAGGTGGCATGTGGACAGTGATTTTTATTAATTTATCAGTAGAACTCTTCTTCATTTGGAATATTTTATGTAAGAGAGAGTTAAAAATGGGTAGAATCAGAATGATCAAAGGTTTATTTGTAAAGATTAAGTGAATAAGGTTTATTACCTTCCCATCACCAAGTCTGACAATTGTGGATATCCAGCAATGTGGATTCTCTTTTTCTCAGATGGACATTTGGCAAATATCTGTGTTTCTTCAGTAAAAAGTCACCAACTATCATTAAAGAGCTTTACTTTATGGGTTGGTAGAAATAATTCTCAAAAGTTCCGGTAACTGTATCTTTCATATTCTTTGGAGTATGTAATGTTGCTTCTCTGGAAATTGCCGACTCCTATACCTGGTAGCCATTTTTGAATTTATTTTTTTGAGTCATGAGGTCTTCTTGACTGACCTGTCTTAAATTAGTACTCTATCTCTATGGCCTTCTTTATTTTCCTCCATTTTGCCTATCATCATCTAAGATACTATATCTGTTTTTGTTGTTGTTATTTTATTTATTGTCTTTCCTCCCTCACCAAAATTTATGGGTTTTTGTTTAATATCTTTACTGCTGTATACCCAGTGTCCAGAAAGATACCTGACTCATAATAGGTGCTCTATAATAATAATTTAACTTGATTAATTAATGAGCCAAAGGACCTCTTTATCCATCAAATAATTTTCAATTTTGCAGGATTCATAAATCCCTCACTCCCACATGAAACAAAAAATAAAAACAAAGCAAAAGCTAACAAAACCGTATTCATCCTCCCACTATTCATTTTGTGTAATTCAATGTTACTTTTTTTTTTTTTTTTTTTTTTTTTTTATGGATTCTTGTTCCGTTGCCCAGGCTGGAGTGTAATGACACGATCTCACTTCACCTGCAACTCCTGGGTTCAAGTGATTCTCCTGCCTCAGCCTCCCGAGTAGCTGGGATTACAGGTGCTTGCCACCCCGCCCAGCTAATTTTTTGTGCTTTTTAGTAGAGATGTTGGCCAGGCTGGTCACGGACTCCTGACCTCAGGTGATCCACCCGCCTCGGCCTCCCAGAGTGCTGGCATTACAGACGTGAGCCACCGCACCCAGCCCAGTGTTACAATTTTTACTTCTGTTTCCTCTGTGCTTTTCTTCCATTTCGTACATGGACCACACTACACTTTCTCCATTTATTTCCATCTAGTATTTTTGTGTATCTATGGATTATCTCTAGTACCATGTTTATGACAATTCCATAAACCAGAGCTCCAAAATGCCTTCCTTACACCCTTTCTCTTTCTTCTGCACAATGAGACTGATTTACATCCTACCCCAGATGATCAATAACTTCAATCAGGAAGGTTAGTGTAGCATGCTCTCTACAGAGTCGGGGAGAAAAGTGACATTATCTATTGCATAGCAATGTAAATTCCAAGAATTTGTTTAGAGCTAGTAGGTACCTAATTTATTTCAAGATTTATGTATCTTAAAGTATAAGAGTTTTCTTAGTGATTTTTCTATCAAAAAAATTAGTTTGTATATTTAAGAAATATCACATTTTGGCAATGATAGTACACACTACTTTTTGTGCTAAAAAAAAATTAGCTACAATTAAAATGTTATCACCTCTCTGTGGCCTTAAAAGTACATAGGCTATTAATTGTTGAAGCTATTTCATCCCCTTAGACTTGTTCAACAATTTTAGAAAGTTTTTAGTAATAGGCAAACTTCTTATTAAAATCTTTTTGTTCTAGTGTTTAAGCCAGGATCCTATTGCAAAGCAGATGGCATTCATGAGCTGATTTTTACAAGAATATGCTTTGCTCCACTGATTGCTGTTTTGATAGCTATTTTTAAAATTTTTGGAATCCTTTAATGTCTATTTCTGAAAGTAATTTCCATAACCTAAATTGAGAAATTGTATTTCTGTCAATTCTTCCAGAGTATAATGATTTAAGAAATAATGGCTCTGGTGGCCAAATGTGATTTGAATAATAATAATATTTATTAGGGGTTATTTTTCATTATTCTCTTTGAAAAGCAATATAAGAAAGCAATCTATTAAAACTAACTTTAAAACTGTTTTATAATGGTGGTATTTATGTATGTCAGAAAAAAATAATCATATATTAAAGATTAGCTTTGTAAATAATAGAAGCCTCATCTTTCTATAGCTCTTACCTTCTTCATTACTAATGTTTTCTCATGATATTTCTTCTTGATTAAAATATTGCATTTTAACATCCAACTGTTTTAAAATTAAAATACAAAGTATTTTGAAGTATTTTTCAAAATAAATGTCAGTAAAATAATTTATGGTCATTAGTAATTGGAAAGATATTATTTTAAAAATCAATTAAAACAAATGTACACAGATATACAAATGTCAATGAGTCAAAACCAGAAAGTTTTTAAGTTGATCTCAGCAATTTAGTATTCGGTAGTTAACATTCCTATTCACTATAATAAATATCTAAGGATTAATTTGAAAAGAAAACTTTTTATAAAGAAGGAAAAGATTTTCAGAAAAAATCAAATCATTTGTGTTACCCTTTCCAGAATCCAAATTTCAAAATATGCAAATTAACATGATTCTAAGAAAAAAATTGTATTCTTATTGTTCGTTGAAAGACTTCTGCCAAAAGCGTAAAACTAAATATTATGATATGCCAGTTTAACATGGGAGACGTCTGACTTAATAGAGCATTGAGTATTACTGAAGCAGTTTAAAACCACAGCACTATTTAACAGTAATTAGATTCCTATGTATTTCAGCATATTAGTTTCTTAACAGTTCACTACTCTTTCTATTTTGAACAGTTGTGTACTTTATGATTGACTTGAGCAATGATGTGATCTCAGCTGATTGCAACCTCTGCCTCCCAGGTTCAAGTGATTCTCTTGCCTCAGCCTTCTGAATAGCTGGGAATACAGGCACCCGCTGTGATGCCCAGCTAATTTTTGTATTTTTAGTAGAGATAGGGTTTCACCATGTTGGCCAGGCTAGTCTTGAACTCCTGACCTCAAGTGATCCTTCAGTCTTGGCCTCCCAAAGTGTTGGGATTACAGGCATGAGCCACTGTGCCTGGCCACGCTTTTGTATATCTGTTTAAATTGCTAAACATTACTAATTATTTAGGATTCTATATTATGCTAAATTAATTCTTACTGGAAAAATGAATAAACAACTAAAAGGATTATAATATAAAAATTTGGAAAAGTTTGGGGTATATTTGGAAATATAAGATATGTGACATCACAATTCTAATACTTGTTTGACACTTTCTTAACATTTAATATTATACCTTATTGATAGGCATATATGCATATACATATATACATTAAAACGATACTTTCATAGTCTCATAACTAATAAAATATTTTCACATGCAGTTGCTTGGTTGTGATCCAAACCACTTGTTTTCTGTAAGCATTATGTTTCTTTTATTTCATATTTTAAAGATGAGGCATGTGAAGCCCACATCAGTGTCCTTTGCACACCTGTACCTACCCAACATCAATTTTATTTGCACTAAATAAGACCCCAGTATTAACAGCTTTTTTTCTGCTGGTACTATTATGTATTGTGAATTATGTGTAGAGTTTTAATTAAGAGAGAACTTGAACAAGTGTGGTGTGGTAAGGTGAGTCTTTTACTAAATGTTTTAAGTTATTTTTTAAAAATGTGGGTACATAGTAGGTGACTATAGACAGTAACAACATAATTGTATGTTTTAAAATTACATAAAGAAGGTAAGGTGAGTCTTAGATGAACTGGCTAAATAAGCTGAGGTTCTTTAGCCTGAAGCTTTAAACAGCAAAGGGATTTTCTTCTATTTTAATTTCACCTAAAGAACAAGTTGCAAAGAATCCAAATTAAAGCATTAAAAAAAAAACCTTAATGATTGAAAGCAATATAAGAAATCATTCGGGCACGGTGGCTCAAACCTGTAATCCCAGCACTTTGGGAGGCCGAGGCAGGCAGATCACAAGGTCAGGAGATCAAGATCATCCTGGCTAACATGGTGAAACCCCGTCTCTACTAAAAATACAAAAAATTAGCCGGGCGTGGTGGCAAGCACCTGTAGTCCCAGCTACTCGGGAGGCTAAGACAGGAGAATGGCATGAACCCGGGAGGCGGAGCTTGCAGTGAGCCGAGATCTCACCACTGCACTCCAGCCTGGGCAACAGAGAGAGACTCAGTCTCAGAAAAAAAAAAAAAAAAAAAAAAAGAAAGAAAAAAATAATTAATGCAGATTATAGAACTGATGTCTCAGTATATTTTTGGCTAAAAAAAAAAGGAGTACTTCTAATTTTATAAAATGGCAAATAAAAGCTTAGCCTGTGAAGAATGATAAATAACTCTTGAGGGAGTAAAAGTTCATTAAAAATAGATTTGAAGCTAAAGATGATTATCCTCGCCATTCCCTCTTCCTTTCTTTCCAATCAAATGATTAAATATAAATGTGTGAAAAACACAAATATTGTTTTAGCTCTCTAATATATCATTTTAACTACATGAATAAATTAGTGGTTTGGATCAAATCTAAATTTCTGATCCATTAGAAAGTACTAATTAATGTTCATTGTAAAGAGCTTCAAAAACTTCATCAAGGAGTCAACATCACAACATTAATTTTTCCTTTCGACATGAATAAATGTGCATAAATTTATTCAGTGTGACACGTATTAAAATGATAGAAATCATTCTAATAAAAACAACAATGGTATTGTATTTAGAAAAACCTCTACTGGTCATTTCAATAGGTCACTTGTGGCAGGAGTCGAGCCTATAAATGCTCACTCAACTGCACACCAATCAACAAGCTCAGATTTCATTGATTATCCATTTGGAAAATTATCTAATCGGCCATTCATTTATACATCCATTCTCATGACATTGGATGTGTAGAACTGAGAATTGAAAGGAAAAGTTAACCTCTTAAAATGACATTTAGTAAAAACGTTTTCATTTTAATATAAGTCCATAGGCTTTAACTTCTAGAGGACTGCATAAAGTATTTCTTGTCCTTGATTTAATTTAATTTACCATCTTTTAACCAAAAGTGAATAGTATTGTCTTCTAAAGAACTAAATATTTCTGCAGTTTGTATGAAATAAAGGCCATGTTCAGGCATTTTCAAAAAAACTTTGTTATTCAATTTTAAGGGAGCTATTTCACATGGTTTAGGTTTATGAGAACAAATATTTCTTCTTCATAAAAATATATTTATATTTACATATTTATATATAATAAAAATATATATTTTATGTATAATATATATTTCCAGTGGAAAATATATCTATATCTATTTCTCTCTCTCTCTATATATATATATATTTCCAGTGGAAAATCTATATTTATATTTCCAGTGGGAAAAAGAAATATATTTTTTTTTCAGCGGAAAAAATATATATGTATATTTCCAATGGGAAAAAAATACATATATTTCTACACACACATATCCCTGAACTATTTTAATGTCATATTCCAAGGTTGTGTTCTAGGCTAAGGGATAATCAATGAACAAGAAACAAAACACAATAGAGATTACTGTAATTTTGAGCTTAGGGATTTCAAGACTGTAAACATAAAATATATTTACCTCAACATAATTTAGTGAAGGCTTTGTGTCACTATTAAAATTGTCATTTACCATGGCTTTTGATAGGTAATTATTTAATCATTCTTCAAATTGCTAATGATCTGATGCTTTAGAAAATACATTATATAGCAATCATAATTCTAATACCCCATGTCCAGAAATGTAAAATAATTAGAGATTTACATTTTGCAGCATTTAAAATAAAGTTAAATTTATTCTGATGACAGTGCCAATAAGTAGATATTTTACAGAAGCATTAGAATCACTACAGTCTGTCTTTATGGACGAGTGATTTGCTGTAAGAATGGAAAGGTTCGCGGGCAGACAGTATTGCAACATTCGGCATCCAGAGTACAAAGGAATGACTGCTGAAAAGAAAAAGGGGAATATACATTTTACTATTTTTAATTTACATTTACGTTTTAAGACAAGTTTTCATGTTAATTCTTGGAAATTATTGTTAACCTGTTATTCTACTTCAGACTGCCCACTTCAGCTATTTAACACATTTTCTGATAAAGGAATATATCGCTATCTCATTGTAGCATATTAGAACTGTAAATGATTTTGCCCTTTGAAAAAGGAAACAACATTAGGTAGCCATACATAACGTTTAGTATCTGAGTCCAACAGCACCATATAAAAGTTAATTGGTATAAAATGAGAAAATAAGAGCTATTGATATTCATTTTCCAGTGATCTGACCTGTTATTTTCATCCTTAAGTTATCATGTTTTAGTAATAGTCTTTAAGTAAATGTTTTTGAATTTCTTCATTGTTTCTCCTTATGCTCACTGGTCATCAGGCCTTTTTTCAACCTAGCTAAGAGCATATAGGCAAAAGCTGCCCCAATAAGTTTTTGAAATAGGGACTACAAAAAGGGTGGTTTTAAATTTTAGTAATAACTTGACATTGAGAGACTAAAAGGAAGAGAAAAAGGAGGCCATCTGTACCTTTAAGCATTTTCTTTTCTACTAGAAAAATAACCAAGAAAATATAATGTTGAATGAAGCAACAAACCAGTTAAAAAATACATGTATAGCAATGTGCCTTTCTAACAAACATGGAAAAACTTAGAAATACAGTGTCTTGCTTCTAAGACATGTGCTTTAAATATTATACCCTTGTAGTTAATAAATATTTCACTTTACAACAATGAAATGTCAAAATGTAATATATTCTTTAAAGCAAATTAAACATTTCTGTATTTCTTACTGATGTTTTGTTCCAAGTCTTCATAGTCCTTTGAAGAGAATGGCTCTTGCATTTAAATGTCTAGCACGGCCCATGATGCTTTATGTTGTTTTCAAAGCTGTGACTCTTAAATGTCCTGTTATTGACTTTGTCATCCAAATAGACCTTAGATATGTATCTACAAGTAGTAGAAGATAAGTTTGTTGGTTGGGCTCTGTAACTCAAAATACCCATTAGGAAAGTTCTCAGATTTGGAATCTAATGTGGAGATACCTTCATGAGTTTAAAAAGGGAGACTACCTATTGTTATTTTAGTCTCATAGCAAGAAGGACAAAACACAACTGAAATTTTTTGGTACATTATTTAATCACACCTTCAACATATTTAATTCTGTTAATGAAACATGAAAGTAAAGTTTGGGTGGTATTGGCTAATTGCTTGCAATTGAGTCTATTCTCTCCTTTAATAACAGAGAGACTGAAATAGAACCTGCTGGTGGATAACATTGTAAATATTATAAAAAGGGAAAAAACTATTGATTTCTTTTTCATATTTACCTAGCATTGAGCATTTAAAATATGCAATGGGATACTATTGCCAAAATTAGATAAAGTTTCCAAAAGCACATGAGATCATAATTACTCAGATGAGAAGTACAGTTTATAATATTCTAGTTAACACTATACCAAAGATTTTGAATAGTTCAGGGAAATAATACAGTTTAGAAATTTGAGGATTTTTATTTTCTACCACTGAAATAATTAAACATATTTTAAAATACTACAGTAGAGTTTATTATTTTATACAAAGTGAGGCACAACATTGTTTTCCAAATGCAAAAAAAAAAAAACTGTAGTGTGGATGTTAACAGGCATTACCATGAAATGTGACATTAAAACACAATTTTCACAAAAACATGTAGGTTTCAAAAGTAAAAGCATTTTAAAATGTGAATAGGTTTTGTTTATGTCTCAAAATTTGGACAGTAATGATACCTTTTAAAGGACTGCTATTTTAATTGAGGCGAAATTCACACAACATAAAATTAACCATTTAAAAATGAACAATTCAGTGACAAATTCAGTATATTTTAATGTTGTACAATCACCACTACCTCTATCTAGTTCTAAAACATTTTAATCATGCCAAAATAAAATCCTATACCCATTCAGCCATTACTTTCCATTCCCTTCCCCGCTTAGCCTCTGACAACTACCAATGTGTTTTTGTCTGTATGGATTTACCTATTCTAGATAAATACAAATGGATTCATACAGTATTCGGCCTTTTGTCATGGGCTTCTCTCACTTCAAATAACATTTTCTATGTTCATCTACTTTGTAGCAAGTATCAGTACTTTATTTCTTTAAATAGTTGAATTCCATTTTATTCTATATGCCACAGTTTGTTTATTCATTCATCTACTAATGAATATATGGCTATTGGGAATAATGGTTCTATAAATGTTAATACACAAGTATTTGTGTATCTGTTTACAATTTTAAGGGTATATGCCTAGGAATAGCTAACTGCTGGATGTTATAGTAATTCCATATTTAACTTTTTGAAGAACTGTCAACCTCTGCCATAGCAGTTGAACCATTTTACATTCCCACCAGCAATGTATAAGGGTTGCAATTTCCCTACATCTTTCCAATACTTATTTTCCTTTTTAAAATAAATATTATTATAACTATCCTAGTGAATGTGAATTGGTATCTCATTGTGATTGTGATTTTCATTCTTCTAATGACTGATGATGTTGAACATCTTTTTAGGTGCTTCTCAGCCATTCATGTTTCTTATGTGAAGTGACTAAGTCTTTTGACCACTTTTTAATTGGATTGTTTTTCTTTTTGTTGGTTAATTTTTGCATATTTGAGAATTTTCTAGTTTTTCTTAATTGATTTCTAGCTTCATTCCTTAATTTATTGATTTCTACCTTCATTCTATTGTGGTCAAAGAAAGCACTTTGTATGATTTCAACCTTTTAAAATTTATCGAGACTTGTTTTCTGGCCTAACATATGGTCTATCTAGAGACTCTTCCAAGTGCACCTGAGAGGAATGTGCACTCTGCTGTTTGGTGAAGTGTTCTATATGTATCTACGAGGTCTACTGTTTACAGTGTTGTTCAAGTTCTATATTTCCTAGTGGATCTTCATTTAGATGTTGTATCCAAGCTAGAGAATAGGAGATTATAGGAGAATGAACCAGAACATCACAATGCTTTCTTACTTTACATTAGAACCTTCTTTCTTCATTAAGCACTCTTCTGTTTTCTATTTTTGATTGGATTCCAGAGTTCCAGAAAGGTTGATTCTGTCAGTTTTTGCCAGCTTAATTTTTGCTTTAATAGAGGGATCAATTCTTGAAGTTCTGAACTCTGCCATTTCTATGATCTTACTCCAGTCGTGGCATAGAATCTTAATTTATAATTTGCTCTGTCTTCATTGAAATGAAGTTTCACGCCGTGATCGTATAGTGTTTAGTACTCTGCGTTGTGAAATGAAGTTTCACTTTTGGCATAAATGTAATAATTGATAGCTTACCCATTTCACTTTTAGCTTCATGTGAAAATGTAGTTAAGTTTATTAAACTTATCTTTGTGTAGACATAGATTTTTTTAATATTAAACAAAAGTGTGAACTGTATTTTGTAGAGGTTTTTTGTTGCTTTTTTGCCGAGTGAAAAGCAACATACATAATTGCATTTGATTCTTAATATAATAGTAATTATAATAACAGGTATTTTATGGATGTTTCCTATATCCAAGCAAACTACTAGATACTTGAAAGAACTTAGCTCATTTTATCTTTGCAGCAAACCAATGAAGTATAGGTATTTGATCTTTAATTTACAAAGTCAAAAACTGAGAATAAAGAACATTGAGTTGTTGAAGGCTATCCTGAACAAGTAAGTTGCAAAGACATGATTAAATTTGTATGTCTGAGTGCAAATCCTAATTTTTTTTTTTTTTTTTTTTTTTTTTTAGTATACCAGGCTGCTTGCTTCCTGGTCATTCTATGTATGGTCTTACCTACATTTTTTCTAATGAGTCACTATTAGATTAGATGGTGAAGTCCAAGGATTGTCCTTATTTTAGGAAAGGCATTTAGCTTATGAATTTTTGAACCCTTATATGAAAAAATCATAATTTTCATTGACTTCTCATAAGCATATTTGGTAATATAATATGCATGTTAAAATATTACAGACTTTCTAATCAAAAGGAACTTTGAGTGATACTATTAGAGAATTATGGCTTTTGTTATTAAGAAATGTATACTATAATAACAATTAGCCATTTATCATAATATCTACCATTTATGAATGCTTACTAGTAGTACTTTTATGTAAGTGCTATCATATAAAAATATATTTTATCATTTGAAATAAATGTAGTTTATGGTTAGAAATATATCTATATCTATTTTCTGTTTCTCTTAGAGCAAAGACAGGTGGACATAGATAAATACAAATCTAGAGATCTTGACTTTGTAGGTAACATTCCATATAATTTTTTTCCTAGACATGCTCTGAAATTTTCTGAAGCTTTGAAGCCACCATACTGTAGAATTGGAAAGCTAGATGAAATCTCAACACTGCAGTTTCATATTAGAACACATACTTGTCAAGCAGTCATAAATTTAAGAAAGCAATTATCATATGTTTTCATCTTAAGATAAGTTAAAATAAACATCGTTAGACTAAAGATATATATTACCACTTAATCAAATTTATGTTACAGTTGTCATCATGGCAGTTTGATTACTAAACTACACAAATAAATATTTAGATTATTTGAGGTATAAAATGAAGCCTAGGTGAGTGGATCCATACACAGTTTAATTAATATACTAGAATTAGTTTTATTTAGAATACTTATCTTGCTGAATGCGATCATTTGCCTTGATCCTTTTTCCAGGATTTCAAGAAACACAGCCCCAACTAAAGAAATGATAATCATTAGCGACCTATGAGAGTGACAGAGAACATCTCGATGGCTTTGAATGTCTATCATAAACTGGTCATCTCTGCATAAGAACATTCTAAATAATTTTGCCCATAAAAATCATTAATAATGGTAGTTTGTAAAAGTTATATTTTAATATTACATCATATGCAAAGACAACTCAATGAAATAGCTACCTTCTATAAAATAAAATCTCACTTGCCTTAATTGGCAAGTGAGGTAAACATATGTAATGATTTCAGAGAGGCACTAGACCAAACCCAACAAATATTGATCTCATCATATGACATTCTATCATTAGAGATTCATTTCTCTGAGTAATCTTAAGGCACCACATTAAAGTTTACATATTCTTGAGAGGGATCTGATTTTCAGCCTTTATGAGGGAAAATTCACTTGTAAAGACAGAAGAATCATAGAAAGATCAAAGGAGAGCTTTTGGCCTTGGCCTTATTTTGACAAAGGGCCTCAAAATCTATGCTTCTTATGTTATCTCCAAGTATAAGTCATTACATGTTTTTATTTGTGTGTGTTTAAAAGCATAAATGTTCAATGTCAGCATTGAAAATATATCACAGTTTTGTAACCTTTATCTGGAGCATTTCTTCATTTCTTATATATCAGGAATATTAAAAAAAAAATGGACTGGACCACTCAATGCCAGTGAGCCCTGCATTTGTTGCTTTAGCCATACTTGTAAGGGTGATGCTGTGAAGGCTGAAGACTGTTCAGGAAATAGGAAGACCTAAAAAGACATTTTTCCCACAGCAAACTGTTTTCTCAAATTCCTATTTTTTCTGAAAGTACCCAGTATAAGGAACACTTAAAATAATTTTCACTGAAAAAAAACCTGACCTTCCAGAAAATGGAAAACCTCAGGTTATACTTCAAAAGACAGAAGTGCTAAGTTTTCAACTAAAATCTTGAAGCACTATTACAACAAGGAGGTGTTCCTTTGCTGTTTAATTAACATCCTAATAAATTATTCTCATTTCTTGGAAACAACTCAAAGACTAGTCCAATCTAACCTGATAGGAACTGTCAGCCAGGAAAGAAAACTGAGGCAGTAATTCAGAGAGGGTCCTGCTGGCTCTAAAGTGAGTCATTTCTGGATCTTGAATCAGGGCTTTGCAACAGAAAATAACCTAGAAAGGTAAGGTGAAGGAAAATAATGGAGAATGTACCAACTAACTGTCTCTTCAGGGAGAACTTGTCAGAATAAAGGGACTGTCAAAAACATACAAAACCAAATCATATTCAAGACAGACATATATGTAGAAGTTCAATAAGATGGGAAAGGCCAATGAGCATATTAGTTTTCTATTACAGTGTAACAAATTACCCCAAAACTTGTTGTAAAAAAATGAAATATAAAAGAAATCATAAAGAACCTAAGGATGTTTGTTTTTTCTCTCCAAGAATATATTTGCATTAACAGTGCAATCTAGCATGTTTCATCTACAGGCATACTTGTCATTTGACACCACCTTTATGTAGTAAAAGTCATCAGAAGTCCTGCCAGATCCTGAATGACTTCAACATCTGTGAGGATGATGATCCCACACCCAGTTTTTCTGTTTCTTCACTTTCTTAAAGTTCATCTACCATAATTATTACTTCTCCTTCATGTTGTTCATCCATTCCCACAAATGCCCTCTGAAATTACCTGAAAATTATTTAACTCATAAATCGTACATGGCAATAACATGTAAACATTCTATCTCAGAACTTGCTCACTAATGTACCTCCCATATATTTGTCCTTCAAGTCCATCCTAATTCGATTCCATTGAAAGTTCTACTTTGCCTGTGTTTATCAACCTTCCTATATCCACCGCTTTTATGATCCAAGGTTCAGATTTACCACAACAAACCTTTTGCTATTACTGTAATTTATCCCACAGCCCTGGAAACAAATTTACCCTGAATGAATCCAAATAGCAGCCACTTTCTTATCTGCATCTTGCCAGGATGTAAATTAGAAGACCCACAAGTGGAAATATTAACTAAAAGTTCAAAGAGCCATGTACTCAATCAGACCATCCACCTGCTAAACCCTCCTCCTACAAGGTTTAATTACTCAGTTTCCTTTCTCATTGTCTACTCTGCTCAAATCCCTGATAATTGCTGCCTTGATGACAGTGAATAAATATACTTCCTACATCACGGTGAAGACATAAGCTTTCTCAAATTTTAGCCACTGAATATGCCATCATTGTATATCATTTTAAGGAGTACTCTTTGATTCTGCCCTCTACCACATACTTCACATGTAATCAATCATAAAATCAATTCATGTTACATTGTAGACAGCTTCTATGTGGTTCCTAATCGACCTTATATCCTTGTATTTATGCCCTTGTGGAGTCCCCTCTCTTTAAGTGAGGGCTGGACTTAATAACTTGGTTCTAATGAGTAGAATATGAAATAAATGATGGGCTGTCAATTCCAAAATTAGGTTACAAAAGACTATTGCTCCCATCTTGCTTGCACTGTTTTTCTTGCCATCTTGCTTGCATGCTTTGATAAACAAGCCCCCATATTCTGAATTGCTCTACAAAGGTCCACATAGAAAGTAACAAGGGAAGCTAATGAGGGAACTGAAGCCCCCAGTCCAACAGGCCTCCCGTGTCCAAATCCTGCCAACAACCACATGAGTGAGCTTAGAAGTAGTCTTCCTTAGTCAGGACCTCAGATGATAACTTCAATGGCAACTTGTTTGCAGGCTTGTGAGAAACCATGAGCAAGAGGACACAACTAAACCATGCCCAGATTGCTGACCCACAGAAAATGTAAATATTGTTGTTTTAAGCCACTAAATTTTGAGGTGATTTGTTATACCTTAGCCTGTGTTTGATAATTAACACAATCTATCACCTAAAATGCTCTACTAAATAGCATGATTGCCGAAATGCTTCTCCTCAAATCTCTTCATTTCCCCAATTCAAATCTTATATGCCATGCAGTGCAAACTTGAAGTTACTTAATTTTGCTCTGCCTAAATTTACTCATTTATAAATTGAAGGTAATAATAGTACTGGGCCTTATATGGTTACTGTATTTTAAAATAAGTTAATATAAGTAAAATAATGAGAACAAATCCTGAAATCCTTAGTCTTTTATATGTCTTAGCTGTAATTCCTTGATACCACTCTGTTTTCAAAAGTGCATCAGTCTTTTTCTCCCGGACCACTAAAAGGCTCTTAACTTGTTTTCTTTTATCTCTGTTCCCATCCTATGCAGTCTGTAGTTCAGCCAGATATAACTTTTCATATATAAATTTATTGGCCCATTCATTCCTGTTCAATGGTGTTCCATAGAAATTATGTTGAATCTACAAGTTATCAATATGGCTTGCAGGAACCTTCCTACCTTTCTAGACCCATCACATATCATTAGTGGAATCCCAAAGGAGCCAAAAGATTAATGAAACATTTTTTGACTTTAAGTATCATGAGATAAAGAGCACATAACCTAGTAACTGTAGTTTGAAAAAGGTATCTGGGTGTGTTTGAAAAACAAATTACATAAGGAGTCAGAGACCAGGGTTCTAATTTTTTAGGTAAGAAATTATCTACCAAAGAAATCAGAGTTCATGCATTCTATTATAACCTCTTTGAACATTAGTTTCTACTTTTGTAGAAATGAATTGAGTATTTTTGTGTTATGCTAACATTTACCTCTTGGATAATTTGGTATTATTCAGAATTTTTAGTAAGTTTTGTACCATTAATAATAGTAAAATTCTGCCAACTACGTCTTCTAATAAATACATATTATGTTGTCATTTCTGAACTTCAAATCTTCAGTGACCTCTTGCTTATTTGATAAAGTCTAAAATTTGCATGACATTCAAGGCCCTAGATGGTCTGTTATATCACTCTGTAGTTTCCCCTCCTAATGCTGTTTCTCCCTCCCTCCGCACAGCCTTCTACACTGTGCAGTAGACATTGTAGGTCCTGGGACATACGTGTACTTGTGTTTTCATTTATTTGTCCATGTGTCCTGCCACCAGGAAATCCCTCCCCTGTAGCCCTTGTGGTTTCCTTCTTAGTACTTAGAACTACATACAAGTTGTCTCCTAGATGCCTTATATGCTTCAGCTCAATCTGAGATTCACACTCCTTCCTCTGCATTCTCTAAGATCCAGACAGAAGCTTTTATTATAAAGTTTATCATGTTAAAGTTCCTAGCAAAACATCTCTATTACTTTTTCTAAGCTCTGAAAGCTGCATGAAGGTAGAAGCAATACCAGAGTCATTCATCTTTGTGTCATAATGGCCTAGCTTAGAACATGGTACCAAATAGAGAATTAGTAAATATTTATTAGACGGATGGACAGAAGGACAAACAATTAGAATTCACTAATCCTAAATAGCTGAAGTAGTGAATTAGAATTTGCTAATCCTAAATAGTTTAATATTAGACTACACAATAATTCCAGCTCATTTTATAAAATAATAGTAGTTTTTGAACATACTTCCTAGAAATTTAGGAAATACATATTTAGAAAACAAGGATTGATGGCTTGAGAAATATATGAGTGTATCAAGGAAGTTAAAAATAAGTTTTATATTTATGTTTATTTAATTTCTTCTCATAGTTATGGCTTACTTCCCCCAAATCTTTAAATGTAGCATTGATCTTATGTATCAGATAAGAACACATTTTCTTAACACATGTTTATTTTTAATCATATATGCTAATGTAGAAATTTGCATTGTAGATTATTTTGATTTTTTTATTTGAGCTTTAAATAAATCACATTGTACTTAAACTTGAGCAATAACATTAGGCAAACATAGATTAAGTCCCAGCACTGCCACTTAGGAGTGACGCAAGTTTGGCTAAGTTATATACTGCCTCTATATTTCAGTATCTGAAACCTGGAATTAATAGTTCCTCTCTAATAAGGTTGTATTAGAGATTAATAAGATATTTTATATGCAACTGTTAATAATGCTTACTACATGGTAAGCTTTGATGTATTTTAAATCTTAATCTTTTAGTTATTACTGTTGAAATAATTTATTATCCCCCATTAAATAATGTCATTATATAAAGGCCTTATCAGCTTTTCCTTCTCTCTTATATGTCCTCAATTACTTCCCTTTCTTGCTCTTGACCCTTAGACTGTTTCTTACTATGCCTCTTTTCCCTAAAAACTACTCTTTCTCAGAAGTCTCACCTTCAGACAACTACCTTGTATCTCAGTTAGCAAGCCGTAAAGAGTTCATCCTCTCTGGTTTTACTTTCTCTCTTATTTATTTTTCAACCTAGTATATTTGTTCTGCAGAAACCACTGTTCTCAGGATTACCAATGCCTTTCTAAATGATAAGCCAACAGCTGTGTCTAACTCTGCCTTTTCTGTATACCACTGTACAGTATGTGTATCCATACCACTGTATAGTATGTGGTATGGATGAGCAATTACATCTTGTTTCCACCACCTGTGCTTCCCATAGCTTCTCGATAGCTCCAGTTCAGAATTATCTTGCTTTTGTTTCTATACCCATGTTTAAAATATTTCTCTTTCAGGCCAGGCGCGGTGGCTCATGCCTGCAATCCCAGCATTTTGGGAGGCCGAGGCGGGTGGATTACCTGAGGTCAGGAGTTCGAGACCAACATGGTGAAACCCTGTCTCTACTAAAAATACAAAAAAAATTAGCCGAGCGTGGTAGCAGGTGCCTGTAATCCCAGCTACTCGGGAGGCTAAGGCAGGAGAATCACTTGAACCTGTGAGGTGGAGGTCATGCCACTGCACTCTTAACAGACCTGTGTAGTTTTGCTAGTACTTTATAAACTTGAAGTGAATGGACACTGTTATATAAATAAAGATTATCTACAAATTGACCTAAATCACTGACAAAAATATAATTCATATCATTTATTACATTAACCCTTTTAGTAATGTAGTAGTGGCTTTAGTTGCAAGGACATTATTCTTTTGTTTAAACATTTGCTTCAAGTACATATAGCAAACACTTGAATGCCTAGTCTATGCTAATCACAATATTATGGGACATCAGTTAAAAGAACAATTAGAAACCTGTCTATATTATTCAATAATGCGATTCTAAATTATAAATTGTATATGTTTTTAAATTGGTTAGCATGGCTTTTCTCTACTCACCCACAAAGAAATAGTATTATGCTAACTGAAATAATTAGCCCATGCATGTGAGGACTGCTTTTACACACATAGATAAATGAATAAATAAATTTTAGTTAAATTAGACTCAAATTTAATTAATGATTTTTACAGCTGAACAGTAAATTCAGATCACCCCTCCCATTTTCTGAAGCTAACAGCAAATGAACTATGGCATTGCTTTGAACCTTGGTCTATATATCCTAGCTAAAATTATAGTATGCACTTGAAAGCAGGTATAAAATGCTTACAACTGAATATGTTGAAAATATATATTTATGTAGGGAATGCAATATAAGTGCCTAGTAAACAAATATTAATTGATGTGTATAAAGATACAGTGCAAGAATGAATAAGCAGTGAGATTATGAGGAATTTTACTAAAGTGAGATTTAAAAGACCATGATGAGAAGAAAGAATAAACAAGATGGGTTTTGGTGAGCTTTCACCCGATCCTTGAAATCCTGGCAAAACCATTTGGATGCCGTATAATCATCAGTAAAGAAACCTGGAGAAAAAGAAAAAGGATCGATATGCTGATTGTGGTCTCACAGAGATAGCCAAGTGTAAGGGCACTCTCTAGAAAGCTATTGTCATTTTCCAGTTTTGAAATGACAAGGCTCCAGACTGAAAATTCAAAAACACGAATGCATACATGGATTGTTCTAGGAAAGAGTAAGAACCTCTGATTTACACATAGAATGATAATTAACAAATTGATTTAAAAAAATAGTGGTTATCTCATGAAAGCGAAATAGCCAAGGATCGTATGTGTGAAAAGTACTTTAAACCTACGCTAGTTATATAAATATTAAAAGTTATAGATGAAAACCCCAAAGGCAGTGTACAATTGGTCCTAATTTTCTTATGGTGCTGGATCTGCCATTTGACAAAAATGAGTATCCGAAAGAATTCATCTTTTTCTAAAGCAGTCTCTTGTTAGAGTGTGAATGCTCCTCTTGAACTCTTTATATGTGTGATAGTTGAATAAAGTGGTTGACAGACAGGAAAAAAGAAAGGAAAAAAGAAACCTAAATATTTTGTCTGTTAAACAGAACTATATTCAGGAACCATATGAACAGGATATATTTTGTTCCCTTTGTTGTAGTATAGCCGTCTGATTTCATACAAAGGAAGGAAGCAAAAGGAAGGGAGGGAAGGATGGAAAGAGGGAGGGAGAAAAATGTACACATACATTCACATATCAAAAAATGCTCACCTTAAAAAAACTTTTGAAAGGGCCTTCCAAAATATTTTATACAGATTTTAGGAAAGAAAAGAAATTAATCTCTTTGGGACTTTCCAGAAAATATAATGCAATAAGTGTCACACAGACTGGCATCTCTAATGCTTCTGTCCAGTGAGGTAGAAACTAGTTTTCTGCTTGACTGCTCAGCCCAAGAGCAATGACTTTAAGCAAGAAAACAAAACAAACTGGGACAAGAGGCGCATTAAGGAAAAGCTTAGAGATGTCTGATAAAACACTGAGTGCTGTTTTCACAGTATCAATTAGAGAATTTTTTTATGTATTACTAGACTTTGATAAATAACTTATACATGTACGACTTTTAAATATGTTCTATTTTGTTTTTATTCTATTATTAATAGGGTCCTATAATTTAGTTTCTCACATTTTTTGCCACTGGAATCTTAAAATTAGAGAAAAACTACCTTTAAAAAATTTTTCAATTATTTTCACAAATGGTATATTGTTTCATGGCAGTAGAGATTCAAGACTGTTTATGAATAAAGATGTCTATAATTTTTAATACCTCAAACATAGACCCATAGTGATGATACTGCTACTTATATATTGCCTTAATTCATAGAAACAATTATTAAACTATTTCACAATACTCTAATTGAAGAATTTGATGGTCTTGTTTTCTACATGCAAAACACTGTGCCCTATTGCAATGCTAATGGATTTTAAACATTTTATTCATGTTGAAAGTATTTTTTCACGAATGGTATCATTTAGAATTTCCTTATTCACAGGTCGCTCCTCTGTTATCTTTCTTATTTTTGTATGCCTTGAAGCAATAGGATGGTGGTGGCTCACACCTGTAATCCCAACAATTGGGGCAGCCAAGGTGGGAGGATCTCTTGAGCCCAGGAGTTTGAGACCAGCCGGGGCAACATAGTGGGACCCCGTCTCTACAAAAATAAAAATAAAAATTAGCTAGGCATGGTGGTGCACACCTGGAGTCCCAGCTACCTCAGAGGCTGAGGTGGGAGGATCACTTGAGTCCAGGTCAAGGCGTGATGAGCCATGACCGCACCACTGCACTTCAGCCTGGACAACAGAGCAAGAGCTTGTCTCAAAAAAAAAAAAAAAAAAAAAAAAGCAACAAAAATTCTTGAGCTTTTGCACTAAACATGTATGTTTTATCTCCAAAGAGCCAAAGAGGGTAGAAGCAGAGGATAGAGGGATGGTGCTTAATAATGGGTCTATTTTGGCAACACATTACTAATGGTATTGTGTGTAAGATAGACTGCTGAATATTTCTATATTTAACTGTGATTTTATCTAAAAACAGGAAGCTACAGCTGTTGGAGTGCAGGTGGGGACCCCTAGAAGGTGTATTGCTGTTTTCATTGACATTTCATAGAGTGAAACTCTGCTTCCAGTCTATTTAAAGGGAAGGATGTGTAAAGGGATGTTTCCTAATTTGTAGCCTTATGCCTGCCTTACAGCTTCATCATCCTCTCCCAACCTAAATTCCTAAAATCAAAGGAATATGTTAATTCCTTTACTGCACTATATTTATATATTTTAAAGACCTCTTGTTTGGAGAGAAAAAAAAATACCCTGCATATTTCACTTCCCTTCCCAATGCTTAAGAGGCATAAATAGCTCTTTTTAGATGATTTTTACACCCTAAAAAGAATGAATGGCCAGGAGCAGAGCGGAAGAAAATAAAGTCAGAGAGGAGTATAGTATGTATAAGTATTACTCTTCTTACCAAGGCAAAGAAAAGGCTTATTCTTGTATTCAAAGTCAGTGCAGTTCCTGGATGAAGATAGTTGAAATAAAATGGGACAAATGACCCTAAGAGCAATTTCCATTCTCAAGTTCTCTTTAATTTCTTGTACAGTTAGAGGGAGGAGACTGTGTCTTATTCATCATTTTAATCTCAGTATTTAGTACAGTGAACAGTATGTAAATGTCTGTTGTGCATTAAAAATGTTTCCATCTATTTTTTAACTTTTTTTAAGCTATCAAATTTTTTTGTTCTAATTCCTTTTTTTCTTAAGTTATTTTTAAGATAGTAGGAGTTTCTTGAATTTTAAAATTAAGCTTAGCTATGCACCTGATCTCCTTTAGTGATTCTGGTATTTAATTTCTCAAACTAAATAATTACTTTCTTTTTTAAAGTTTTAATCTCTTTTTAATTACATCATTGATCCTTCTTATAAACTTAGAGTAACAGACAATTTTAACAACATACTAGGACTTACATAATTTTTCAGTCAGACTGGCAGTTCCTTACACTCAAACTTTTCCATAATTATTGCAGTTGTGGACAATTTTTCAAGATTTTTATAGGGTTAAGCTAGAAGGATTCATCTTCTTCACTGAGTATGCTCATTGTTGTAATTGTAGGCACCTTGTCTTTTTCTTCCTGTGTTCTAATAAAACTGTATTATTAAAATAGCTAGTTGAATACCTTTTGAATATTAGTTTTTGATAATTTAATAGTTAAGAATTTTTCTATACAATAAAGGGGATTAATTTTAGGGTCCTAAGAATTTATAACAAGGCAAGATAATCAGGTACATTCCTATCCTTATTAATTTTCTCCTGTCATTACCATAACCTAGAATGTATCTTTTTTGTTTACCCTTTATTCCCTCCGGTTCTCTTTTCAAGGCACTATTTAATTTCTAGTTACTCTAGGAAGTCAGCCTTTTCGCATTCAGAGTAAGGCACTATGATAAACAAATAGTAGGATTCTCATCATCAATAAATATATTAATTAACAATCAATCAGGATTTTCTGCCTGAGGACATTATTTAGTATATCACGTGCATGAGTGTCTTTCAGCAAGGTCTGTTTTTCCTTCCAGGAGACATTTGCCAATGCATGGTGACGTTTTTGATTGACATGGTATACTGATGGTATCTAGTGGGTACAAGCCAGAGATGCAACTAAACATCTAACAATATAGAATCATCTGGTCCAAAATGCCATTACTGTCAAGTATGAGAAAGATTTATTTATTACCTATATTGATGCTGGACCATAAATAGCCATGGTTGGTACATGAATCCCTGACAAATTTTATTACTACTTTCCATCCTTATGGCCAAAACTATGTTGCTGGCTGTCATAGGAAAACATTAAATGTTCTGCTCAAGCACTGCTAGAATATATCTATTTCTTCTATGTTATCTACATGGAGTGCAACATTGTAATTAAAGAAAATTAAATTGAGCTGTCACAATTTTCTCTTTGACAGAGCCACACTGATTGCTACCTAACATACTGCATTAGAAATCATTGTCAGTGATTGCACATTTACAGTTTGAAGGTTTGCCCTGGGATTTCACATGGTATTGGAGTTAATTTGACTGGTATGTAATAACCACTGCTGCTTGTTCCATCAGTTAAAGAAGAAAATGAATAAAGATTTTAATATGTAGTTTGCTTTTGAACTTTTTTTTTCTGTATTTGCTCTTGCATTTTTCCCCTCTCTGTTGGCATAGAGCATTCTCTGGATGTGTTTCCATCTCACAGGAATTAAGGCATCACTAGCCCAAAATGAAACCAGATTATCCTTCATATTTTTCAAAAAATTAAGTTTCTTATTTTCCCTGCACTTAGAATGCATTCTCCTGTTTAAATACCATCCATTCTTTAAGAACCAGGCTTCCTGTTATATCTTAATCAATCATTCTCTCTTATCCAGTTCCCAATACATATACATAATTATATACTCGTCTAACTCACCTTATGTCATGTTAAATGGAAAACCTCTTAAGGAGTATGTATCAAAATATCTTGTTTACAGATAATTTTTTGTGAAATTATGCTGTTTGAAAAAGAATCCACATCTCTACCACCTAAATAAAGGGCCTGCATACAAATATTTCCTGCTTAGTTGAGAGAACAAACCTAAAAATCCAAGATATTATTATGATGAACATTTATTTCTGACAGTAGGTATGGCTTTCTATACTTATAAAATGAAATATATGTTGCTATGTCTCTCTAGCAGTATGATGGTTTCAGAATGGTTTAGAAGTATATCTTTGATATTGACACTGAGAACTATTTAGCAAAAGATGAGGTAGTTCGTTTTTTTTCTTTCCAACTTCTATTTTAGGTTCAGAGGGTACATGTGCAGGTTTGTTACATAGGTAAATTGCATGTCACAGGGTTTGGACTACAGATTATTTCTTCACCCAGGTAACGAGCATAGTACCTGATAGCTAGTTTTTCGATCACCACTCTTCTCCCACTCTCCACCCTCAGACCCCAGTGTCTATTGTTCCCTTCTTTGTATCCATGTGTACTCAATGTTTAGATCCCACTTATAGGTGACAACATGTGGTATTTGGTTTTCTGTTCCTGTATTAATTCACTTAGGATAATGGCCTTCAGCTCCATTCATGTTGTCACAAAGGACATGATTTCATTCATTTTTATGGCTGCATAGTATTTCATGGTATATATGTACCACATTTTCTTTATCTAGTCTACCATTGATGGACATCTGGCTTGGTTCTATGTCTTTGCTGTCGTGAATAGTGCTGTGATGAATATACACATGCATGAGTCTTTATGGTAGATCGATATATATTCCTTTGAGTATACACCCAGCAATTCCTTTGCTGGGTCAAATGGTAGGGTTTTTTTTAAGTTCTTTGAGAAACCTCCAAACTGCTTTCCACAGTGGCTGAACTAATTTACACTTCCACCAGGAGTGTTTAAGCATTCCTTTTACTCCACAACCTAGTCAACATCTGTTTTGTTTTGTTTTGTTTACTTTTTAATAATAGCCATTCTGACTGGTGTAGGATGGTATCTCATTGTGGTTTTGATTTGCATTCCCCTAATGATTACTGATGTTGAGCATTTTTTCATATGCTTGTTAGCTATGTGAATGTCTTTTGAGAAATGTCTACTTATGCCCTTTGACCATTTTTTTAATAAGATTGTGTGTTTTTTTTTGTTAAGTGCCTTATAGGTTCTGGATAATAGACCTGTGTCAGATGTATAATGTGCAGGTATTTTCTCCAGTTTTATAGATTTTCTGTCACTCTGTTGATAGTTTTTTTGCTGTGCAGAAGCTCTTTAGTTAGGTCCCACTTGTCCACTTTTGTTCTTAACTGCAATTGCTTTCAGAGTCTTCATCATGAAATCTTTGCCAAGTCTTATGTTCAGAATTGCATTTCCTACGTTTTCTTCTAGGGTTTTTATAGTTTTAGGTTTTATATTTAAGTTTTCACTCCATCTTGAATTGATTTCTGTATATGGTATAAGGAAAGGGTCCAGTTTCAATCTTTGGCATGTGGCTAACCAGTTTTCCTAGCACCATTTGTTGAATAAGGAGTCACTTCTCCTTTGCCAGTTATTGTCAACTTTGTTGAAGATCAGATGGCTGTAGGTGTGCAACTTTATTTCTGGGTTCTATATTCTGTTCCATTGTTGTATGTGTCTGTTTTTGTACCCATTTCATGCTGTTTTGTTTACTATAACCTTGTAGTATAAAGTTGGATAGTATAATGCCCCTAGCTTTGTTTTTGTTTGTTTGTTTGTTTGTTTGTTTTTGCTTAGGATTGCTTTAGCTGTTTGAGCTATTTTTTGGTTCCATATGAATTTTAGAATAGTTTTTTTATAATTCTGTGAAAAATGTTGTTGGTAGTTTGATAGAAATACCATTGAATCTATACATTGCTTTGGGCAGTATGGTGAGGTAGTTTCTTCAAACAATAATTTCCCAAAAATATTCATAATTTATTAGTTATTTGTGGGCAAAGTGTAGATTTCTTCCATCTAGTGTCTCTTGTATCTATGTCTTTAGCATCTAGAGCCATGCATTTTAGAATTATACTTAACAACTCTTTGAATACATCAATAAATTGAATGTTTTCATATTTATTATATATAATACTGGATGAATAATTTTGGTCTAGCATCTAGGACTTTAAACAATAGCCCCTGTGTATTTTTAGTTTTTCAATATTTGAAAAAACTACAGATCTTTCTTTTCTCATCCTCATGTTGAGCTCAGAGAATTCTGACAATGAATTAATGCACATACATATATTTAAGTCACTTAGGATAGTGTGGCTATGTGCTTTACTTATTATTTTCATTAATATTCCTAACACTCCAAAACAAGCAAAATTTCCTTTGCCATATAGAAATGGTATAAATTGCATTATATAAATTAACTTTCCTAAGGAAAATGTTCTTTAAAATTACTTTGGACAGCAAACCTTATCCTGAAGGTTATTTGTTTGTTAGCTTGATTACCTCATTGATGTTGCAATTTGCAGTTAGTGATTTTTTTCCAGTCTTTCTTAAACCTTTATTCTATTATTAGGGCTTTTTATTCCCTTCTCTTTGTCTATTTTCACAGGTATTTTAAAATACTTTAAATTTATATATCCAGTATATTTAGTACAATTTTTTTTTCTAGATTAAAGGCACCAGGTCTATCTGAAAACAACTTTTAAGAGCTGGTCAACACAGAAAACCATAGTAAACAACAAGTTTTTTTCTAGACTGTCTTGCCATCTTTAGTCATGGCTTCCAGCTACATCATCTTTAATCATAATAAACTTTCTTTATGCAATTTTGATCTTTTTAAAATAAATTATATTGTATTGCTTTTATCTCTGTATTTGGAGTTCTGAACTCTTATTTTATGTTATATTGATTTAATTAGAATTAAATAACTAGTTGAGAGGTTTTTTTAAATTAGAATTAAATACTTAGTTGAGAAGTTTTTATTGTCTTTGTCAGAGTCAGTTCTTTTTGAATTATAAGTTGGTAAGACATTACTTCAAATTCTTTATTGTATTTCTGTCTGTCCTCTTAAGTGATACTAACCAGTCCTAAAACATAGTACACACCCCTCACACACATGCTTAAATTTAAATCTGTGGGGTTCTAATGGTTCTATAGTTCAGATCCTCTTTGTATAAGTGTGCCTAGCAAAGTGCTTTGAAGAGAGGAGACATTTAATAAATATCTGTCTAAGTGAATTGAATAGTTATGTATTTTAGGGAAAATCTAAAAGAAAATTTATGCTGTGGAGGAAAATTCATGGATGATCATATTTACAATTTAACCAAAAGATGGCAGAAAACGCTAATAAAGGACTGAAGTTTTTCTTTAGGGCTCTTGTATTCTTCCCACATCCTCCTTCATTGTTTAAAATCTGTTGCTTTCTCTCAACTAGCCGTTAATGCTGTTTGACCCTCTAATGGTTTCTCAGTGGGCATCCAATCTTCTTTAGGTTTGGAACAGAGATTTATTTCAACCTGTCAATGCAGTTAAAGGCTTGGTTTCTTTGAGCTGAACTATGTTTTAAAACCATTTAAAATAGAGACCAAAATTTTAAAATATGGATTTTCTTGAATGAAACAGATCTCACCACACTGGGTCTCTATTTCTTCATGGCAGCAATATTCTGGAGCCAGCCTTGACAGATGGAACTTAAATTCTCAGGTCAACACATTCACTCCATTACCTTCTGGCTCCTGCAGGCTTTTGGGTTATAGCCTCTTCAATAGTCAAGTACTCCTCCATTTTCATTCCCACTAGAACTTTCCTGACATGATCTATATTTTTTCTCTTTTTTAAAAATTATACTTTAAGTTCTGGGATACATGTGCAGAATGTGCAGGTTTGTTACTTAGGTATACACGTGCCATGGTGGTTTGCGGCACCCATCAATACATAAGAGCATATGACAAGTATAGTGATTGGTCAGTATTTGCTCTCTTTTTTCTCACCTAAACACAAGAAGTGCAAGCCTACCTTACACATATGTACAATATATAACTATTTGTAATGTGCATTTTGAAAAGAAGTGACTTCCAAGTTCAAATATAGCTTCTAAGCTGGGCATCTTAGAGACTTGAATTTTCAACCATTATTAAGTTCTTTGGACTATGAAAATGTTATCAGTGGTTATATTTAAAATTTCCGGTAGTGACCAAACATTAGAATAAAATATTGGTCATATTTTTCATTTCATATTCTCCTCTTTTTATTACATCTTTGTTAGGCATCACGGTCGTGAGTAACACAATTAAACACCCTTTTGTCAAACCATTTCATAATCATAATCATGTAGAATAGGTAAACATTTTAAATTTTCAAATGCTTATGCATATGCCAGATCTACCACATACATGTTAAGAAAAAACAAATAGTATGTAGTTTTCAGCCTCCTGTTGAACAACGTTATAATCAGAGGACTGAAGATGTTTTTGTGGAACAACTTTTCAAAAAACATGACATATCTATGTTAATATTTTTAGTATCAAGAAAATTATTGTAGGATCTTAATTTTTATTTTACTACCATTTAATTATGGCCCATTGATATTCAACATGTTACATGTGTACTTTTTTACAAGTGAAAGAATATGTAAAGATCTAGAATGTGGGTTAATCAAGAAACCATAGTTTTCTATAGAAATATAGAGATTTTTAAAGGAATTGATATTTAATGGGTGCCTGTAATGTGTTGTGTAGTAAGTATTTTACATATTTGTCTCACTTGATTTTTATAACAATTCTGTGATTAATTGTGAGTATTTTATAAAATGAAAAGAATTGAGAATGAGTAGGAAGAAATAAATGACATGTCAAACAGCTGCCTTGGGGACTTCAATACTCCATATACATTGGGATTGCTCTATGAGGAAAAACAAACTACCGCTACAAAGTCACTTTACCTTATTTCAAAGATTCATAACATTTATTCATTTCCATCCAAATATTTTAAGTCTTAGAAACATATAAACTTCAATAAACCTTTAGGATTTTGTTTCATATTATGATGTCTATTAAGGGAACAACTAGTAGGGTTACATGAAGGGAGCAGAAATATGATAACAGAAAACAAATAAAAATTATTAAGGAAATTAATTTGGAAATAATAAAAAGGCAATGAAAGTACAGAGTCTTGGAAAAATGTGATCTAATTAATAAGGCACAATTTTCAGGTACAATATTTATAGACTCTTATTTTTTCTATTTTCTACTCTCAATATTTGGTGACTGGGGAAAATTGGAGAATTAATGTATTTGGATTATAATAGAAAGAAAAGAAAAGGAAGCATCTTGTAAAGATTATGCAACTGGAAAGCAGAAGACCTGAGATCTAGTTGTAAATGTGCCACTGAATACTTAGGTAAATTGAAGTACATCAGTTTATTTTAACTGTAAGTGCTCAAAGTAATCTCTCATGTCTTTTGATATCCTAAAATTGTATGATTCTCAAGACCTTCAATTCTTAGAAAGCAAGTTTATGACAAATTAACCAAATGAAATGAAAAATATCTGAAAACTCACCAACTTTATACTTTTATCTGATTTTTTAAAAGGTTCCAATGGAGTTTTATTGGTCAGTTCTTTTTGCTTCATATGGAAGTTACTAGAGCATTAAAAAGAAACTATACTGCAGGATAATAAAGTCAAAGAAAACCAAATAGTCATGAAAATCTTGAAATATTAAATAGAAAATTAGTCCAGATTATTCCTTTTTTAGAAAAAAAAGACATTAGATAATTTGAAGATGTAATTTAAAAAATGGGAATGACAGCCACTCCAGGGGGCAAAAGTCGGAATGAGAAGATAGGCGCATTAACTTGGTGAATGAACATCTCCAACAAATGTAATTTAAATTTTAGATGGTTAATAAAACACTCTGGAAATAGATTCAGTAAATAATCTTATGTATATTAATTTAGCTTGAAAATAAGTTTTTATAACTGCTAATGTAGGAGTTATAATTAGCCAATTTATTTAAAAAATTATTTTTCAGTTAATTGTATTTGTGACCAATACTTGAAATTATATGCATATATTTTATTTTATCATGCTGCGATAGCAAAATCATACATGAAATCATTTTTATTAAATATAATTCATGGAAGTAGATTTGGTTTTTATTTTTCTTTATACTAAAGTACTATATTTTGTTTACTTGATTATAGACTAAAGGTTCTCAAACCATGACATCCTCTGGAGCCCAGAAAAAAGTTAAAAGAACTCTGCCAAATCCACCTCCTGAGGAGATTTCCACAGGAACTCAATCCACATTCAGCACAATGGGCACAGTTTCCAGGAGAAGGATCTGCAGAACCAACACAATGGCACGAGCCAAGATTCTCCAGGACATAGACAGAGAGCTTGATCTTGTGGAAAGGGAGTCTGCAAAACTTCGAAAGAAACAAGCAGAGCTTGATGAAGAAGAAAAGGAGATTGATGCTAAGCTACGATACCTGGAAATGGGAATTAACAGGAGGAAAGAGGCCCTATTAAAGGAGAGAGAAAAGAGAGAACGAGCCTACCTCCAGGGAGTAGCTGAGGATCGTGATTACATGTCTGACAGTGAAGTGAGTAGCACAAGACCAACCCGAATAGAAAGTCAGCATGGCATTGAGCGACCAAGAACTGCTCCCCAAACTGAATTCAGCCAGTTTATACCACCACAAACCCAAACAGAATCTCAACTAGTTCCTCCGACAAGTCCTTACACACAATACCAGTACTCTTCCCCTGCTCTTCCTACCCAAGCACCCACCTCATACACTCAACAGTCTCATTTTGAGCAACAAACTTTGTACCATCAGCAAGTTTCACCTTATCAGACTCAGCCAACATTCCAAGCTGTGGCAACAATGTCCTTCACACCTCAAGTTCAACCTACACCAACCCCACAGCCTTCTTATCAGTTACCTTCACAGATGATGGTGATACAACAGAAGCCACGGCAAACTACATTATATTTGGAGCCCAAGATAACCTCAAACTATGAAGTGATTCGCAACCAACCCCTTATGATAGCACCTGTTTCTACGGATAACACATTTGCTGTTTCCCATCTTGGTAGTAAGTACAATAGTTTAGACTTGAGAATAGGTTTGGAGGAAAGAAGTAGCATGGCAAGCAGTCCAATATCAAGCATATCTGCAGATTCTTTCTATGCAGATATTGATCACCATACTCCACGAAATTATGTCCTAATTGACGACATTGGAGAGATCACCAAAGGAACAGCGGCATTAAGCACCGCATTTAGCCTTCATGAAAAGGATCTGTCAAAAACAGACCGTCTCCTTCGAACCACTGAGACACGCCGGTCTCAAGAAGTGACAGATTTCCTAGCACCTTTACAGTCTTCCTCTAGATTGCATAGTTATGTGAAGGCGGAGGAAGACCCAATGGAGGATCCTTACGAGTTAAAGCTTCTGAAACATCAGATTAAACAGGAATTTCGTAGAGGGACAGAGAGCTTAGATCACCTTGCTGGTCTTTCTCATTATTACCATGCTGATACTAGCTACAGACATTTTCCAAAATCTGAGAAGTATAGCATCAGTAGACTCACACTTGAAAAACAAGCAGCAAAACAACTGCCAGCAGCCATACTTTATCAAAAGCAGTCAAAGCATAAGAAATCACTAATTGACCCTAAAATGTCAAAATTTTCACCTATTCAAGAAAGTAGAGACCTTGAACCTGATTATTCAAGCTATATGACTTCTAGCACTTCATCTATTGGTGGCATTTCCTCCAGGGCAAGGCTCCTTCAAGATGACATCACTTTTGGCCTCAGAAAAAATATTACAGACCAACAAAAATTTATGGGATCTTCTCTTGGCACAGGACTGGGCACATTAGGAAATACCATACGCTCAGCTCTGCAGGATGAAGCGGATAAGCCATACAGTAGTGGCAGCAGGTCCAGACCTTCCTCCAGACCTTCCTCTGTCTATGGGCTTGATTTATCAATTAAAAGGGATTCTTCTAGCTCTTCCCTAAGACTGAAAGCTCAAGAGGCTGAAGCTCTAGATGTTTCCTTTAGTCATGCATCATCCTCTGCCAGAACTAAGCCGACCAGTTTGCCAATTAGTCAAAGTAGAGGAAGAATACCAATTGTGGCCCAGAATTCTGAAGAAGAAAGCCCACTCAGTCCTGTTGGCCAGCCAATGGGAATGGCCAGGGCTGCAGCTGGACCCCTGCCACCAATATCTGCAGACACCAGGGATCAGTTTGGATCAAGCCACTCATTGCCTGAAGTTCAGCAACACATGAGGGAAGAATCACGGACTCGAGGCTATGACCGTGACATAGCATTCATCATGGATGACTTCCAACATGCCATGTCAGACAGTGAAGGTAAATTGGGCCTCAAACTACCCTGTTACTCTCAAAACTCAAACTCTTATTTTTCTGCATGTTTAATTTCCCTTCTCCAGAGATGTATCCTACTTTTCTTGGTGTGTCTTTTGCATGTTTACTTCAATTTTATTTCTTGTAAATGGAAATTTTATCATGTGTATAGATTCTGTAGCATGCTTTTCTTTATTTAGTTTTACTTTATTCCTTTATTGTTCTGTTTCTTGATTGTTTGCTTGATTTGTTTGGTGTCTGCTTTTCTAAAACCATTATCAAATAATTCTGTCAATAAAATATGGTCATCCTATAAATCCATAGTTGAAAAGTTTTTCATTGTAAGTTTCTTTCATTTTTAAAAATATATTTTAAAAGTTATTGGTCAGTTTCAGTTTCTGAAATTATTAAAGTTTAGAGCCATGAAATACTATTCTGATAGACTTTGTAATAGAAAATCATTTATGGCATGTTTATGAGATCAGTGTTCATTAGTTCAGAAGATTTTCTATTTTTGAGAACTTTTGGATAAGTTCTTGATGTTAGTATAATGTAGAATTTTGTTATTTTCCTTAAATAAAAGATTTCTGTTTTATCTTTCTCTCTCATTATGAATACTATTATTTACAAATTTGTAATTTTGCATTATATGCTAGAAAGTTTAGTACTAAATAAGACATGAAAATAAAGAATTGTACTAGTATGAAGTATTCTTTAAAATTGAAACCTTGTAAACTTCTTTTCTGATTTTAGTTATTTAGAGTTCAAACCTTCCTGATTTGCCCATTTAGCCTTTTCCTTTGGTTTCTTGATTTTGTTTTTTGTATCATCCCATGTATTTGCCCTAAATTGACTTGCTAGTTTTCCATGTTGAACAAGTAAATACTTAACTAAAAACTGATTTAAAGTAGCTTTGTGTTTAAAGATATACAACCATAAACAAGTAGTACAAGTAAATACTTAACTAAAAACTGATTTAAAGTAGCTTTGTGTTTAAAGATATACAACCATAAACATTTTTGAAAATTATCTAGTCCAAGTCTAATATTGAAGATGAGGGAGGAATGATACAAAGGTGTGAAGAGCCTAGCCCATACCAAGAGGATTCATGACTCTTGACTCTTGGTCCTTTTTTTTTCACCTCCTTTGGTTTACATTTGAATGTAGATGTAGATGGAGTTCTGGAAATAAAATATTTTTGATCAAATAAAAGCATTATTATTTCCTTCCTTTAGAGACTCCAAAGAACTAAGCTAACATGAACATCTCCCTTTTCAAACATAACATCTTTCTTGAGGACTCACAGGAAAATACACATTTTTGTGAAAAGGATTTTTTTCCTACATCTTTGTCTAGATGAATAAGATTTTAGGAATTCAAATCTGGATTTTAATAGTTTTTTTATTGAACTAAAATAATCACTGTATCTGAAGGAGGACAAACTGCTTTTGTTTGTGAAATTCCAATAGATTAGTCATTTTCTGATTTGTTTTCGTCTCTACAGGCTATTGGATTGACCATTTTTATTGACAATTAGTTAATTGAATAAAATACTCAATTTGTGGGTTTTTTATTTAGATGATTATTTGAATAAATGTACATTGCAAGAATTGTGATATCATGTGGGAACAGTCTTTAATATTTCCTTACTTTTTACAATCCACATTTTATAAACATTTTATAGATAGAAAATGACAATTGCAGAAGAGTAAAGAGTTTATCCAATAGTCATGTCTATAAAATAACAAAATAAAACAAAAACCCTAGAGGGTCAATGGCATAACGAAATGCCTTAAGATTGTGTGTACATCATGAGCATATATCTAAAGAGAGTTTGATTTATCATCATAGATATTTTGTCAACATGCTGCCAGATATTTAGATGTTTCTATATATCCCAATACGTGGCACTTACATATATGTAGAGCCATATAAAAATAACAGAATATTCTATTTCCCTTTTATATGTTTGAATGATGTATAGGTCATAATCATCAAAGACTGTGTGAAAAACATTGTTTTGATAAAATAGAGGATGAGATACCATGCAGCATATAAAATTATGAAGTGTGTAAAGATGATACCAAAGAAGTAAAGCAATTAAAATTTAAATGAAATTAAACTAAAATATATTTTAAAATTAAGCAGACAAGGAAATTATTCATAAAGATTATGTTGATATAAATTGGGGCAGGAAAACTATAGCAATTATATATGAATTACATATGTAATGGTATGTGTGTGAATTGTAGTGATTACTTCTAAATGATGTATGTAGTAAAATGTTATATATTTTCTTTGTTTATGTATCACATAAGCATACTATTTTTCTTCTAATGAGTAATGGTGTACTTTTCGTTTGAAATCTTGAATTCCTTCAGTATTTAAAAAAATAGAAGAAACTACTTTTTTCCAATCAATAATTCCTACATTTATTAACTCATTAAGTATTAGAAATTTTTAACAGATTTTTAGCAAATATATGCTATATCTATATTTGAATATACTAAGATAATTTTGAGTAGTATAACATTCTACAGGTTATTTAGTATCCTGTGAACAAAACAAATTTAATTGCTTTCAAATTATTTGTTGTGTGCTTTTCCAAATTCAATTAAACTGTATAAGTGATAGGATATAAGACAGTCATTAGATATATTCTAAAAGATTTGTTGATGTTGAAATATCTTTCTTGAGGAAAAGTCTATATAGATATAGTTTATGTTGCTTAATATTTATTAATATTTTTAGCTTGAAGCACGCTAGAAACAGGCCAGACGTGGTGGCTCACGCCTGTAATTCCAGCACTTTGGGAGGCTGAGGCGGGTGGATCACGATGTCAAGAGATCGAGACCATCCTAGCCAACATGGTGAAACCCCATCTCTACTAAAAATACAAAAATTAGCTGGGCGTAGTGGCACACGTCTGTAGTCCCAGCTACTTGGGAGCCTGAGGCAGGAGAATTGTTTGAACCTGGAAGGTGGAGGTTGCAGTGAGTTGAGATCACGCCACTGCACTCCTGCCTGGCGACAGAGTGAGACTTCGTCTCAAAAAAAAAATGTGCTTCATCTCATGTCCTCCAGTATATACTGTCTTTTTAAAAGTATATATATTTCACCGATATTTGATACTGAGAAGAATTAAACTGTTTATGTAACTGTAGCCTGCGGACAGTACTAGATCCAGAAATAACTTATTTGTATTTTACTTTTAGGAATTCAAGAAAATATTGTCAAGTTTAAAAAAAAAATACTGTTAGTCTCCTTCAAACGATTTGAACTAATTCAGAATTTTTTTTGTTATAAAATTTACTTTTTCACTGAGATTTTACCATGAAAGATGAGACAGTTATAAACAATTAGCATTTATGTACAACTGGTTCTAAATAATGAAAACAAAATTCAATACAAAAGCAGATTCATTTAATCTGCTTGCTCTTGGTTGATTGTAAATTCCTGTGCAAAGGATGATAGTCATCTTTATTCAGTTACACATAGGGTTATTATAAAAAATAACAAAATCAAAATACATAATCAGAATTATTGGTAATAAATTGACAGAATTTGGGTCAGGTTGAACTTCTACTTTATTTCTATAGGCACAGCCAAACAAAACACACATTTCAAAGAATTATATTTAAAATGCAATTAAGAAAGTTATATATTCAAATGAAATCTTGTACTACATCATAAAGGATATTAATTTATTAAAATCAGTATAAATTATTGTTCTATTTTCATGAGAAATCTATAATAAAATCCGGTAAGAAGTAAGACAAAAGTAGTGTCAGTGTCACTGGGAATAATCTAATAGATTTTAAGAGACTAATGATTAAATAATGAATTTGTTTTGTATTTCCTTGTCAAATGTCTATTACACTAAATTTCTTGGTAAGTTCAGTCACTTGGTTTCAAATTAAGACTGGAAAACCATAATTATTGAGCAGATTGTGAAAAATATCTGCATCAGTGAGGTTCAAAGGACAAATTAATATTTTAAATGTGTTTATCATAACTAGGATGTTTACTTTTTCTAGTTGATGACTAATTATTCTATGCTTCATTCATGCCAATATTTATTGGATGCTATGCCTTGTGCAGGGCATTGATTTTAGTATTGAGGGAAGGGGAAAAAAAAGACAATATAAGCTTTGCCTTTAAGCAGCTTAGAATAGGTGAGATCAGTCAAGTACATATGCAATTACAAAACAGATATGTGTTAATGTATTTTCTCAAATCTAAGACTGCTTAACCCATGACACATCGTTGCTCATTTTGTATTCTGGGAGGAAAATGCCATGGTTAAGTAGCAGTGTTGACCACAGGAGGTATAGAGTTGAGTAGTGGTACATATGCTGTGGGTTTGCCATCCCCGGCAGCAATGAAATGATGGAAATGGCCTAGGGGAAAAGGTTGGGAGGAGGTTTTGGAAGAGATGATAGTCAGGAATGTAGATAGAAAAATAAAGCTATTGTATGGCATTCTAGAAGCTGGAGTTTCAAGAAAGTGGAGGTTGACAACATCATCAACAAATCTTTAAAGGATAAGCACTTGAGGAGCCTTGTTCCTTCTAGTGTTTAGGAAGCAGGAAGCAACAAAGTATTTCCAGAGACTGTTAATTAGAGATTCTTTTACAAAGACTAAAACAATTTATTAAAAGGAAAATTCTATATATTAGGGAAAATAAGATGTTCAGTCATTATAGAATATCTTGAAAAGACCTATGAGATACTAATGAATGAAATTTAATTTAAAATAATAATTGTGTACCTTAAATATAGTTGCATTTTCAAAAAAGTAATCTGTGAAATTTTGTCACAGTGTGAGTATAAAAAGCAGGCAACCAAGTCTTCAATCTATTTTCTAAATCAGTGCTTCTCTTAAAAAAATAATCATTTTATTTTTATTTAACAATTACAATAGAGGTATTTTTAATATTAGGCTACTACGTAATCATGGCACACATGTTCCTAACAATAACACAAGAATTCTCTTAGAAACAAATGTTTTTGTTCATTGTGAATGTCATAGAAATGTCGTATTTTCAAAAAATAATGTTAAAGCCAGCAACAACTTATTGGCACTGGGTTGATGTAATGGTGGGAAAGTGACAGAAACTTCCATACACAAGGAATACTTTTTGTTTTAATTTTTGTATTATACTTTAAGTTCTGGGATACATGTGCAGAATGTGCAGGTTTGTTGCATAGGTATACATGTGCCATAGTGGTTTGCTGCACCCATCGGCCTACCTTAAAAAAAAATTTCTAGTGGGTTGTGGGGAGAGTATGGGAGAGAATGTGTGGATGTGGGAACTGATGGGCTGAGGTTAAATAGAATGATCCTTTTGAAGAATGACCACTTGATCATTTATTTATTTTATCACTATCTAAATTTCTTTTTTCTCCTGATTTAAAATTTGATTTTGTTTTGCTCTGAGATTGTGAACATCTGTGTGCATCATTTTTTCTAGGCTATTCTATGGTTTAAAATTTTTGACATAATTTGATTTTTGGCATAATAACAAAAATAATTTTTCTAGTCCCAAGGGGAGATGTGTTTGAAATGCATGTATGGTTAACAAGCCTAGTGCATGCTAGTACTACAGAACATCTGCTTCCCTCAATCATCTGTATTACTTGCCGTTGCAATGTATGATGTTTCCTTGGTGTCCAAAGCCTATCATCTGCGTCGTGAGGAAACAGATTGGTTTGATAAACCCAGGGAGTCTCGTTTGGAAAATGGACATGGTCTGGACCGAAAACTGCCGGAAAGATTGGTCCACTCTAGACCACTCAGTCAACATCAAGAGCAAGTAAGTGCTATATTTAGCAATTTCTTTTAGATTTATCAAAAAAGACTCAAGTCTACCCTAGAATGGTCTTAATTGTCCTAAAAGGAATGAGATGTTTGTTTATTAATTTCACAAATGATTTTTTCCAATAACATAAAGGAGTAACACAGCTCACTTCATCAGCTATGACTGACTGAAAATGGAGCATAGCTGTGATACTTCTACCAATTTAAGTGATTCATTCCTCCAACAGATCATTATTAAGTTTGTATAACATATCCAGCACAGCTATACAAGAAGAATAGATGGAGCTCTGAGAGCTTACAAGCAATTGGGTGAAATAGATTTGGGTAATTTTCAGTGCTTTCCAATAACAACATGTTCAGATGCTAAGAGCAAGTGAGAGCATGGCCAAACCGAGTGAGCTGGGATAGAAAGAACGCTTAACCTGGAGGAGAAAGGAAGCTGATATTTTAGTGGATCTATTATATGGAAATGTTAGTTGTTTTGTTATGTATTTTTGAATTTTATATGTGGAACAACTCACATAAAGTAGATATTGCTAATCAGTGTATTCTTATAGAGGAAGAAATTGAAACTTAGAGGTAAATTTCAGAATTAAATAAATATGATACCAAAATTCATGATCTCACTCACTTTTGAGAAATGAGGTGATGTTTGAATTGAATTTTGAAATACAACTACGAGACTAAGAGTTGAGTGAATTGAAGGAGAGTCTTCAGGTAAGCCAAGTGGCCTTTAATCAATTGCCTTAGCAGATCAGATATTTGCAGGTTGTGTACTCATTATGATTATTGAAATATCCAAAATAGTTGACTTATTTTATTTACATAAACCCCTAATCATCCTGTTTAGTGATTAATTGAAATAGAAAACAACCATATTTTAAACAACTGAGAAGATCCATATAGACTTACTATAATTCAGTGTTTGTCATATTGAGGTATAAAAGAAAACAAGCCTTTGACATTTATAAGTACTGTCTAAAATACATTGACTATACTCTTAGATTTGATTTATTTCTAAGCAATTTAAGTTTTCATGGACAAATTTCTACCTATTAAACAGAATTTTTTCTTAGAATTTTGTTCTGTTTTTCTATATGCTATCATATTTTCTAGAATCTTTTTAATTCCTCTCTACTATAAATTTCTATCTTTAGTTTTTCATATCTTCAATACATATTTTGTTTAGGCATATATTTCCCTCCATTAAAATGTCAATATAATTCCATTATTCTACTTCATGTAAACATATCAGCCTGTATTGAATTATGCTTTTATTAGCTTGTCTTGCTATTGAAATTGTATTTGTGGTTGTGTTTCAACTCTCATCAAATAGATCTGGCTAGAAAGTAAGAAAATTAATAAAATTATTCTGCACATTTAAAATCTTAAATTTAGCTCCTTTTATCTACAATTACTAAGATAATAAATGTCAGTTAAAAATAACTTCTTTAAATGTGTTTATTATATGAATCTCTCTAAAATGGAATACTTGTTATGTCTTCCCCATCTCATTTGTTTCTCTGAAGTTTAGTGTTTCCCACAAACCTAGATCCAGTCAAAGAAAACACAGATACTTTAACAAAATCATAGTAAGATAAACTATATAATAAACAGGGCAGCTTGTTTAGTAATTAACAAGCAGGAATATTTATTATCAACACTACTGTTTCCACGGGCACTGAGAATAGTCTTTTCCACCTAATTTATCAAACTAATATTCTTTGAGGATATATTTAAAGTAATGCGTCCAGCCCAAAAATATGTAAATGAAATATTCATATCTTTAAGGACATTCTTGTTTCTAATTTAATGTTACTAACATATACAGATTTATGGTTTTGGTCTACTGGGTACATAGTAATAATGGTTTAAATAATATATAATTATAGACCAATATAATGTCAAAATTAAGCAGAGAACATATTTTTGAGAATCATTTAATAAATTTCTTGCTATGTCTGCTCACGTAGACATACTTGTTAGGTGAATATAATAATGTGTATATTCTTGCTAAAAGTAATTTTTTACATTTGTATAATATTTTACATTTTCACATCTAACATACAAACAAAAAAACTATATATGTAATATTGAAACTGCAACTATGCAAAGTTATAAGCTGATTAAAAGTGAACAGCCATGAAACCGCCACACAGGCCAAAAAAAGGAACATTGCCTGTCCCTGAAACCCTTGTATGTCCCTTCCAGATCATAACCACTCCCTTGCCCAAATAAGTAACAAATGTGCTGACTTTTGTGACAATAATTTGTTTTTCTTTATCATTTTTTCTAAATAGATTCTACTATAACATACATTTATTTACATGAAGTTCAAAAGTTGAATTATATAAAATTCAAAATTCATGCTTTTTGCATTAATATTTATCTTCAAATACTGTCTCCCTCTTTAACTCATCATAACTATATTTTGGCTTGGAGAATTACAAAATGGCATTCTCATGTTATTAACTTCTTTGCATCTCTAATCATAAAAAGCTAATATTGAGCTCTTGGTACTAATAAACTCAGATGCTTTTATTTGAAAACATATGCATAACAAGAAATCATATTCATAAAATGCTTTGGAGGCAAAAGTAATAAAACCAATAATACTAATGCAAACACTAATTTATCTGCTTTTAAAACTAGTTTACATAAGACAAACATTAGAGGCATAGAAGAATATTTCTGAAAATTTTTTATTAGACACACAATCATATTAATTATAAAAATAAACCGAATCTTAAAGTCCATATTTGTTTCATTTCAAATATATGTGTATACTTATATGTGTGTGTATGTGTGTGTGTGTACCTATCTATCTATCTATCTATCTATCTATCTATCTATCTATCTATCTATATGCTTAACCTCTGCCTTCTTCGGTAGAAATTCAGCACTGCTTTGTGAATTGCACAGATAACCTAATCTCTTATTTTTTAATTTTACTTTAGTCACTTACTCTATAAATAATGCTAATACCTTTCACAGGGTGGTTGTAAAGGTCAGCACTTCTTGACTATTATAAAATCCCTTCACTTTCTGCACTTAACGCTCACATCATCTGCAATTCCTACCCAACTGCTGCATTGAGGTACATTAAGCTCCCATGAAAGAGCCACTCTTTCTCTTGATTCTAGGAATTTGAATGTTCTGTTTTCGCTCCTTGGACACTTTTCCTCCACTCATCCCTTGGCAAACCCTAATCATCACCCAGGTGTCCATGTAACTGCCCCATGATGCAAGAAGACTCCCCTGACACTACCACCCCCACTTCCCCAGAAATCTGGGGTAAGTGTTTTTCCTTTGTGCTCCAGTGGTGCCCCATGTATTATGTCTTGGGCTGTGAGCTTCTTGAGAGCAGCAGCTCTGTATTCCAACTACCATGTTATATATGCATACGGTGCTAGGAACTCAGCAAGGCACTCTGTCTCCTGCATCTAGAATGTGTAGTATTTAAGTGAGGGAAGGGATGTCTGTATGAATACACAGTATGTTAACAAAAAGGACATGAAGGCTATCTGTCTTCCGTGTGTGAAGTAAAGGGCTCAATTCCTTCCCTTTTTGTTAACAAACTGTTTATATATACAGGCTTGATTCATGAAAATAACTCTTTGAAATATTTGTAGGTAGGAAAGAACAGCCCTCTTTCTGGGAGGCCTATAGGCAATAATTCTATCAATGAGGAATCACCAAAAGACAATGATAACAGAGACCATCCCCTTGGGGAGAGGAATGTAGCACCACTTGACATCAGTTCTGCCCCTTGGCTTTGTGCCTACTCTTATTTGGCGTTAGCAACACCTACCCGTAACCCCATCTGCTACAGGACTCTCTCAACATTCACCCTCTGTGGTTACTAAAAAGCTGAGATTCATCTAGCTCGTACATCTAATTCATACATGGAAGACAGATAGACTTTTGGTCATATTGATCATAATTATGGCAGCTTTGTGTTTCTGATTTATTAAGTGGATTTATGAAGCTGCTTGCAGACAGGGTAGACAGTCTCTGAAACTATAGGAGATTGTATGAGATGTCCTAAAGCAATATTCAAGAAAATTAATATGTTCAACATTCCTTCTACTATAAAATAAAAGGTAATAGTGGCTATTTGATAAAACTGGTGAAAAAATTAGGAAGCCTGATGATGACTCTTCTAAACTGTGTGATAGATGCACTGTGAGATTACATCAACGTCTCCCCAGCCTGAAAATTGGAAAGAATACTAAAAGGCAAAATTGTGTTTTCTTAGTTTATTTGTGACCAAATGGAAAGAATAACTTTTTGGAATTATTATTAACTAATACCTGAGATTAGAAGAGATTGAAATAAAACAAAGTAACATCCACCAATTTTACTGAATTACCTGCAGTACCAAAGCAAAGTTCAGTTACACCTAACAGTTACAAAATTTTCAATGCATATGATTTTATTTTTAGTAAAAAATAAAGATTTTTAAATGCATATTAGGAAAAGAAAAGAGGGGAAGAAGAAGGAAAAAAGTGGGAGAAAAAGATGTGGGGAGGGCAAAAAGTAACAGAGAGAAAGGAAAGAGTGAGAGGCTGACTGAGAGACAGACAAAAGAGATAGAGACAGGAGAGAGAAGAGTGAACAGCAGGGAAGAGAGGGAAAAAGAAGAAAAATGTAAGCACTTGTTACAAATATGAATAAGGTTTTCAATGGTTTACAAAGTTAGCATTAGTATGAATTATCTGAATTGACTTATTATACTTACCCTAATATTTTTATAATTTAGTAAACAGTATTTTTGTTTTACTCTGCAGAATTCACATAATATTCCTGGACTTAACAGGATTCTGCTGTTGTTTAGGGAGTATTTTATGTTAATCTAAGGCCTGCTTAAGCTTATTCTTTCCTAAAGAGGATAAAAGCTAAAGGCTGTAATTTTAGCTTCAGTTTTTTAAATACCTGTTTTGTTTTTAATATCCAGAATTCTAACAATTTTACAGCTGGAAATACTAGGACACATTAAGTTCACAAGAGTTTTCTAAGGAATCTTTCTTCACAAAATGTATACCTCTTTAGTTCTAAATTCTGTTTTATCTTTTGGGAACACACTTCTTAAACATATTCTAAAATAGGTAATATGAAATTTTTATCTATATTAAACTTTATTTTGGTTGTAATTTAAGTCAAAAATTTTCCTATGACAATACATACAAAATTCCATACAAATAAAATCCTGTTAATATAGGTAAGAGTAAATATCTTACTATTTCTGTCTTTCATTATTTCACAAATCTCTTTTGAAAGCAAAGTTCCATGAAATATAAAGCACAAGTTTGCATTCGCTAATTTACTTTTGTTTCAGAAACGATGTTTCACCAGGTGGAAACACAGATAATGCTGTCTATAATATTCTCATATTCAAGTCTCAATAATGAGAATTGAAATCACAGATTTGCAACAGTAGCTTTAAGTGTTACTTCTTCTACCCTAAGGAATGTCTAGGAGACATAACACTATCAATAATGCAAGCTTTGAATTTTAAAAAGTATTAAAGTGAACAAAATCTTTATTTATTTATATAGAATTAGTCTCTGCGTCTAGTTTACAATGAAACTTCTAGTACCTGTGCTCAGCAGAAGTACAATGCCACAATAAATCAAGAAACACAAACATAAAGTAATCCTAATTATGATGACAGAGATGTCAAAGTAGGGGGATCTTCTCTATTTTTTCTCCCCCGGCACAACTTAATTGCTGAAAATTAAAAATGCTTTTCCCAGACTGTCCAGAGCAAAATCAACAGCTGGCAATTTTCCAAATACATTCTATATCCGAGGTCACCAATATTGACTGCATACTACTGTAGTAACAAACATTCTTCAGAACCTATTGCATGCACTTATTAATTTTTCAAATACAACAAGTCATTTTGCAAGAGCAATTGGTTATAAATGCAAACACCATAAGAACTCAGAACCAGTAATATCATTATATAGTGTTAGTGTAAGATGTTTAAATTGCCATCATGTGAGAATCTCCTACTACGTTCCATTGATTTAATCAATGTGCTTTGAAATGAACCATTCTAATTATGTATATTGCACTTTAAGTGTCTTTAATGCTGGTTTTTTACCTTACTACATGTATGTCTTAGATTATACAGATGAACGGGAAAACTATGCACTACATCTTTCCTCACGCAAGGATAAAAATAACAAGAGACTCAAAGGATCACACAGTTTCAGGTAAAGCAAATCATATAATCTAATATTTTTTTTGTTTTTTTGTTTTGTTTTGTTTTGTTTTGCATTTTTTTATTATTATACTTTCAGTTTTAGGGTACATGTGCACAATGTGCATGTTAGTTACATATGTATACATGTGCCATGCTGGTGTGCTGCACCCATTAACTCGTCATTTAGCATTAGGTATATCTCCTAATGCTATCCCTCCCCCCTTCCCTCACCCCACAACAGGCCCCAGTGTGTGATGTTCCCCGCCCTGTGTCCATGTGTTCTCATTGTTCAATTCCCATCTGTGAGTGAGAACATGCGGTGTTTGGTTTTTTGTCCTTGCGATAGTTTACTGAGAATGATGATTTCCAATTTCATCCATGTCCCTACAAAGGACATGAACTCATCATTTTTTATGGCTGCATAGTATTCCATGGTGTATATGTGCCACATTTTCTTAATCCAGTCTATCATTGTTGGACATTTGGCTTGGTTCCAAGTCTTTGCTATTGTGAATAGTCCCGCAATAAACATACGTGTGCATGTGTCTTTATAGCAGCATGATTTATAGTCCTTTGGGTATATACCCAGTAATGGGATGGCTGGGTCAAATGATATTTCTAGTTCTAGATCCCTGAGGAATCGCCACACTGACTTCCACAATGGTTGAACTAGTTTACAGTCCCACCAACAGTGTAAAAGTGTTCCTGTTTCTCCACATCCTCTCCAGCACCTGTTGTTTCCTGACTTTTTAATGATTGCCATTCTAACTGGTGTGAGATGGTATCTCATTGTTGTTTTGATTTGCATTTCTCTGATGGCCAGTGATGATGAGCGTTTTTTCATCTGTCTTTTGTCTGCATAAATGTCTTGTTTTGAGAAGTGTCTGTTCATATCCTTTGCCCACTTTTTGATGGGGTTGTTTGTTTTTTGCTTGTAAATTTGTTTGAGTTCGTTGTAGATTCTGGATATTAGCCCTTTGTCAGATGAGTAGGTTGCAAAAATTTTCTCCCATTTTGTAGGTTGCCTGTTCACTCTGATGGTAGTTTCTTTTGCTGTGCAGAGGCTCTTTAGTTTAATTAGATCCCATTTGTCAATTTTGGCTTTTGTTGCCATTGCTTTTGGTGTTTTAGACATGAAGTCCTTGCCCATGCCTATGTCCTGAATAGTAATGCCTAGGTTTTCTGCTGGGATTATTATGGTTTTAGGTCTAACATGTACGTCTTTAATCCATCTTGAATTAATTTTTGTATAAGGTGTAAGGAAGGGATCCAGTTTCAGCTTTCTACATATGGCTAGCCAGTTTTTATTCTAATGTCAGATTTACATATGTACTGACATTTGGATTTCATTTTAGATGACTCATGACATTTTGGAAAACATCACTTTTTATATCAAAAATCGTGTTTTGAGAAATGTAAAAAAATAAGTAGGATATACATTTGAACATAAAAGACATTGATGACATGATCATTAATATGAGGAGGTACTAAATGGTACATACTTGCATCATTCTTTTCATTAATCATATGTTTTAATGCACATGGTATTACAATGCTCTGCAGTTATTGCTGTATTAAGAAATACAGTCACTGGTTGTAGGAATATAAGACATTCTTATACAGGAAATTAAAAATCTGTCTTGAATTCTTCTAAGGAACAAATTCCCCTATTTCTACTCAATTTGAACACTGTGAATTTATGCTGGAGTTTTTTTTGTTTGTGTTCTTTTATAAGCCAAAGCTAATGGTGGACTTTTTATTTGGAAATAATTTTGGATTTCCAAAAATAATACAGACATTCCTTTTGCCCACTCTTTGCCCAACGTTACTAATGTTAACTTCTAATCCCAATAAAGTGATCAAACCCAGGAAATTAACATATATATGATAATATTAAAATATCTATAAGCCTTATACAAATGTTGAGCTTTTCCACAAACCCACCATTTATTTTTTTTCTGGTCCAGGATCCAATTTAGGATCCCACATTGCATTTAATTGTTTGACTCCTATATCTCCTCCAATCTGATAGGTCCTCAATCATCCCTTGCCTTTCATGACCTGGAAGCTTTTTGAAAGATGTATGAAATTTTTATATTACAATCAATAGTCCATATTTAAATCAATGAGATAAAATATAAATTTTTCCAAGTTAATGAAATTTCAAAAAATGAAAATTACCTATATTTTTGGTCAAGTATGTTCTTTGAATATCATGGACAATGTGCATCAATAGAAAATATTCAAATATATATTTAATTTATGTGTTATATATGTATAGGCAATACATCTAACATGGTATATGTACTGTGTTTTCTTTTTTAAGCACTGATACAACAAACGGGGTATTTCTTTAGTGTAATTGCTATTGTTCCTTGCAGATCTTAGACAATGGAACATGTGGACGTGGAACAGGTTTTGCTTTGAGCAAATTTCTTCTTTATTTTCATAGAGAATGAATTGATTAGGAGTCTAATGTTGTTTTCCTTTTAAGAGTAGGTAACTTTTCTTCTGTCAGAAACTGATAATTGAAACTTTCATAGTTTTATTGCTGTTCAAACTGTATTTTAAGTACTGATGAAAATTCCAGGGTGAATGTTAAAATCCAAGGGCTCTTGTTGTGGAAGTAATTACTTGCTAAAAAAAGAATTTCAGTTTCCTCCAGCTCATAAAGCAAAACAACATAGTATTTTCTAACAATGCCAAAATTATTTTTTCATGATGTATAATGGAAATCTTCAAATCATTTTTTTCCTAAATCATCAGAATCTATGCCAATGTGCCTGTTTTCTAGCTGTATTATTTTACGCTATATTAAGAATTATTCCTTCAACCTTATTATTTATCTTTCCTACTCTTTAGTTATTATTTTACTTTAACTAGAAACAAGTTTTAAAACATAGGAATTACAAAAATAAATGCCAGCTCTTTAGTAAATATTCTAGTCTCAAAAGTAAATTTAATTTCTTCTGTATATAAATTTCACAAAAAGAAAATGTTATTTTTTTGGACAATAAATTTGCTAGTAATGTACTATATCTTTTCTCTGAATGCCCCTTTTTCTTGTGGTATCTACCTAAAATAATACTAAAAATGGTTTCCTTGTTATAGTTACCCTGTATTGATTACTACTGAATATATTTTCCATATGTCTTAGGAAAAATAATCCTATACTAAATTAAGTCTTTTAAAACAATCTGCATTTTATATTCTACTTCTACTTTTAATTTTTGTAAATACATCTACATATGAGGCTAGAACCAGAAGTTACAGTCTTTGACAATGTCTGGAAGTTTTAAACCAGTGCCAGAGAAACTGGCACTGAATATTTCCTGGCAAAGAATATTTACACTCCTGGCTAGTCTCTGTGTCATTTTCTGCTCAATAAAAATCCTACTTTGATTGACTAAATATTTGGTAATATTAAGGATTTATTGTTAGCTCTACTTTCATTTATATGTTAATGTTTTAATTGAGTTTATGTATTTTTTAAATTGATAAAATGGTATGTGTTTATCATATACATTATGATGTTTTGAAGTATATATACAAGTATATATGTTTCATGAAACAAAGTGATAACTACATGAGATAGTGCTTATGTTAATTAGCTAGAGTTATTATAACAACTGTCTTAGCATTGTTCTATAATACAATATATTGTTATTAACTATAATTACCACTGAGTGTATCTTTTGGAAATGCACACTAAAATATTTACAGATCAAATGATATCATATCTGAAATTTGCTTCAAAATTAGCTAAGTGTAGAGAATGTTGGAGATGTAGATAAAATAAAATTGAACATAATTTGTTGATTGTTGGAGCTTGGAGATTAACCACGTTGGATTTTATTGTAGTCTTATATTACATTTCCATATATATAAATTTTCCATAATAAAATTGTACAATTGCTGTTTCTTTTTCATGTTCACAGTAAAACAGCAGTATCCAAAAGCTTCATCAATAGGGAAAAAGTAATCAAAACTAATAATTTAGCTGCCTTTGTGAGACAAGACAAAGATTTAAGCAAGGAAGTAGTGAAGAATAAAATGTAGTATACCTGTTCTTTTATGGTGGAAAATGGCCATTAGTGAATTTTAATTTTGGTTACATAAACCTATTGATAGTAAAACTACTATGAATCTTTTATAATATTTTAATAGACAGTTCTAACTTTATAAATAGTTTATAAAAGTTATATAAAACAAGCATACCTGGCAAATAAAAGAAAAAATTTATTTAGGAAAACAAAAATAATTTCAAAATAGAAGACAGAAGTAATGTTTTGTTTGGTTTGTTTTTTACCATTCTCCTATGTGGTTCTCAAAGTAATGTCAATGGGACCCTCATGATCTCAAAGATTCTTCAGGGGAGTCCACAAAGCCAAGACTATTTTAATAGTAATGCAAGGGCAGAATTTGCCTTTTTCATGCTGATCCTTTTATGAATATACAATAGAGTTTTTCAGAGGTTATTTAATATGTGACTTCACAAGAGATTTGATACAGAAGTAGCTGTGAAAATTCAGCTGCCTTCTATTAAGTCCAAATTAAGCCGATTTACAAAAATTTAAAACAGCATTCCCCTTCTCATGAATTTTGCTTATCAAATAGTTATTTTTAATAAAGTATTATTTATTTTAACATGGAATAAGATTATTTTAAATGCATTAATAAATATTTTTAATTCCCAATTTTAATTTATAACATGGAAAATATACATAGTTGTAACACATATAAAGAAAAACTCCTTGAGATAATCAGTAATATTAAAGTGGATATGTTTCCCCAAACCAAAAGTTTGAAAGCCACTGCTGTAACGATATCTGCAGTGAAATGTTTTTTTCGAAAAGGAAATATACTTTTTTCTACTTATTAAAAAAATGTGTACAGCATAAAATAAACTGTTTCTGTAACTCACAGTGGATGCATTTTTAAATGTTTACTCATTGATGATCATTCATTTGTCATCCATGGTATGACTTAAATTTTGTTGGGTGCTAGATTAATAGAGTGAACACAACAAAGACCCAGATTCTTAACGTACTAACAATTTAGTAGGAGGACCTGAAATGTAAGTAATTATTACTATAAAATTTTAGGAACAACTGAGGCAACAGTCAAGGAATTTATAAATTCATTGTTCATACCTATACCTATGTATGTGTGTGTATACACACACAGCTATACAGGTGCATCATAATTTATAATTTTGTAATGTATGCAAAGAGAAACACAGACCTGTAATCTTCTATTAAATGGTTCATAATTTTTTAAAAATATATCCTTTAACTTTTAACCTGTTAACTTTAAAGATGTAAGTGTTTATCAACAACTGTACAATGGTTTTGAAGGTACTCAGCAAAACACAAGGCAACAGAGTGGAAAGAATAGGTAATACGTTTTGGAATTATAAATCTCTGTGTTGAAATTCAGCTCTAACACATGTAAATTTTGAGAATAAGTTTGTTCATCTGTAAATAAAATGAACTCCATGTATCTCATAATTGTAAGTGAACCTAACACAAAATCTTGTACTTACTGTATGCTCAACAAATGTTATTTCCTCTTAAAGAGAAATGAACAGAAAAAAAAGAACAAAATGTGATGCTCAAAAAATGAGTCTCCTTTTTTTTCTTATTTAAAACTCCATCTTATGGCCTCAGAAACACAGCTGTTTGAAACAAGCCAAAGAAATTCTTCTGATTTTTGAAAAAGGCATTTGCTATGTACAGTTCCATAATGGACTGGCTACATCTGCAAGGCTAGAAAGACTTAGCAATTATAATAGTGAAGAACACTAAAAATGTTGTTAAGTTTGAAAAGATAGCATTGTCTTCTTAGGAAATAGTGGCTCATTTTCTTTTCTGCATTAGTCACCATCTTTATGAGTTTTTAGAAACAGAGACAAATTAGAACAGATCTCATTGGATCCTAGTTGGCAGTAGTAGAGCTATGTGGATAGCTCTTTATATTATTATTATTATTATTTTAACAATTTTCTTGGATATAACTTACATATCATAAATATCTATTGTTAGTGTACAAATCAATGACTTTAATACATTTATGGACTTGTGCAATCATCACCACAATCTTGTTTTAGAGATTTCCATCTTTGCAAAGACTCCTTTGAGGCTGCTAGCAATCTCTGCTTCCAACATCCCTCATCCAAAAACTAACTACTGATTTACTTCTTGTCTCTGTAAGTTTGCCTTTTCCAAGCATTTCATATAAATTGGATCATTCAATATACAGTTTTGGTGTCTGGTTTCTCTCATTTACTAGTTTTTTAGGTTACTAGTTTTTAGGTTAGTTGTAGCATGTGCCAGTGGTTTGCTCCTTTTTACTGCTAAATATGTTCCATTGTTTAAAAAGTCAACATTTTGTTTTTCCGTGAGATTTTCTCCCATATTTTAAATAATATTTGCATACATGTTTTAGTATACATGTATAATATGTAATTTTTATTGGTTAGTTTACTAGACATAAAATTTCTGGTTGTATGGTAAGTTTCCGTCTAACTATTTAAGAAACTGCCACATAGTCAAGGTGAGTTTGTCATTTTGCATTCTTGCCAGCAATTTTTCATGATTTACTTTGCTTTGTTAAGTAATTGTTTGTGGATATTCATGAGGGATATTATTCTGTAGATTTGTTTTCTTGTGATATCTTTGAGTAATCTCATAATACTGACCATGTAGAATGTGTTGGGAAGTGTTCCTGGCTGTATTTTTCTATAGAGTTTGTGAAGAATTCGTATTATTCATTTTTTGAATATTTGGTAGAATCCACCAATGAAATCACCTGGCCTAAGCTTTCTTTTTCAGTAAGACATCCAGTTACTAATTCAATGCCTTTATTTGTTATAAGACTATTTAAATGTTCTCTTTCTTCTTCAATCAGTTTTGGTAATTTGAGTCTTTCTAAAAATGTATTCATTTCACCTATGTTTTATAACTATTGTCACAAATGTATTCATCATACTTTATCCTTTTCATTTCTCTTAGGTCACACAGTGAAGCCCTTTATTATTCCTAATTTTTATTATAGTGTCTTCAATTTTTTCTTAGTAAAGCTAGTTGAAGATTTGTCAGTTTTGCCAATCTTTTCAAAGACCCAATTTTTGCTTTTATTGATTTTTCTCCATTATTTTTTGTTTTCTATTTTATTGATTTCTGGTCTAAATATCATCTATATCTTTTCTTTCATTTATTTTGTAGTTAGTTAGCTTTTTTCTCCTAGATTCTTAAGGTGAAAAGTTAGTTTATTAGTTGGAGAGCTTTCTTGTTTTGTGACATAGACATTTAAAACTATGTATTTTCCTTTAAGGACTACTTTACTGCATCCCATGCATTTTTTTTCATTTTTATTCACTTCAAAAGATTTCTTAATTCCCTTGTAATTTTTTCTCTTACCTATTGTTTATTTAGAAACATGTTTTTACATTCCCTAATGTTTGGGGATTTTTCCAGTCTCTTTCTGCTCTTGATCTTTAGTTTAGTTTCATTGTAGTTGGAAAACCTATTTGGTATGATTCAATTATTTTGACTTCATTCAGATTTGCAAAGCTTTGTTGATAAATTTGTATATAAAATGGAGAGACATTAAAAGCACAAGCAATTTGTGAGTCTGACAGTTTCCAAGTATGACTATGATTTTACTTTCCACTGAAACTTCTCTCTGTGCTGCACATCTGTGTAACCTTCTTTTGGTTAGATTTGTGTGAACAGTTTGGGCTCTCTCTGGTTTCTGCCAAACATGCACTCAGCCTTCATTTACCCAGGGATATATTGAGAACTTATTAAATCTATTTATGGATGTCCCAATTCCCAGTCTCCCAGTTTAATCCCCAAATAAATTGCAAGTCTGCCACTTGTTTCATCCCCTCCAGCAGTAAAGCTTCTAGTTTTCATACCCTGCCCTGTCTGATAGAATTATCATGACAACTTAGCTGGGGATGGAAGCAGCCCAAGCCAAGTACGACCAAGATTCCCACTTGATATGGTTTGGCTGTGTCCCTACCCAAATGTCATCTTGAATTCCCGTGTGTTGTAGGAGGCACCCGGTGGGAGGTATATGAGTCATGGGGGCGAGTTTTTCTCGTGCTGTTCTCATGATAGTGAATAAGTCTCATGAGATCTGATGGTTTTATAAGGAGGAGTTTCCCTGCATAAGCTCTCTCTTTGCCTTCCGCCATCCACTGAGATGTGACTTTGCCTTCTGCCATGATTGTGAGGCTTTCCCAGCCACGTGGAACTGTAAGTCCATTATAAACCTCTTTCTTTTGTAAATTGCCCAGTCTTGGGTATGTCTTTATCAGCAGCATGAAAACAGACTAATACACCAGTGTTCTTGAAGATCAGCGCTTCTCATGAACAAATGCTGCTTAGTTTGTTGTAAACTTTTGTTTAATTTCCAGAATGCTGAAATGGTTGGTTATTTTTTAAAGTTTTATCCAGCTATACAATTCATTATTTGGGAGAAAATTTTATTTATTTTATTTTGTAATCTATTTAATTATGATTTTGGCAACTTTTTATAATGTATTTCCTGAGATAGTAATAAAAATACCATATTTCTCTGAATTTTTTTACTCATTCTCAAAATTGTTTTGATTGTATAAGATTTTTATACTTAAATATTTTTTTAAGTATTACATATAAAATAAAACACAGATAATGAATGAAATTTATTTTGGCATAAGATTCTTATAAATGATGGTTTCTAAATATTCCATTATAGTATTGATTTCGTGTGCATAAAAAAGAAAGCTGCAGGCCTAATGTACCTCTTTCTAATATACCAGCCAGAATTACTCATCTGAGAACATAATAACAATTCTAAATAATTGAATCAGACTGAAAGAAACAACAATATTCTGAGAGATCTCAGAAATCTGAAGAAAATAGTTCAGATATTTTATCAATATTTCATAAATGAGTCCATTAAGTTTCTGAGGAGGATTGTGACATTCTTAGAATCCTAAAGAAAATTGACAATTAGTCATGAATAAACTCACGGACTGTGTCCTAATCCTGTTATAGAATTATTTTTTTTCTTTTTCTATTTATTATTTTTATTTATTATACTTTAAGTTTTAGGGTACATGTGCACAACGTGAAGGTTTGTTACATATGTATACATGTGCCATGTTGGTGTGCTGCACCCATTAACTCGTCATTAACATTAGGTGTATCTCCTAATGCTATCCCTCCCCCCTTCCCTGACCCCACAACAGGGCCCAGTGTGTGATGTTCCCTGCCCTGTGTCCATGTGTTCTCATTGTTCAGTTCCCACCTATGAATGAGAACATGCAGTGTTTGGTTTTTTGTCCTTGCGATAGTTTGCTGAGAATGATGGTTTCTAGCTTCATCCATGTCCCTACAAAGGACATGAACTCATCATTTTTTATGGCTGCATAGTATTCCATGGTGTATATGTGCCACATTTTCTTAATCCAGTCTATCATTGTTGGACATTTGGCTTGGTTCCAAGTCTTTGCTATTGTGAATAGTGCCGCAATAACCATACGTGTGCATGTGTCTTTATAGCAGCATGATTTATAGTCCTTTGGGTATATACCCAGTAATGGGATGGCTGGGTCAAATGGTATTTCCAGTTCTAGATCCCTGAGGAATCACCACACTGTCTTCCACAATGGTTGAACAGTTTACAGTCCCACCAACAGTGTAAAAGTGTTCCTATGTCTCCACATCCTCTCCAGCACCTGTTGTTTCCTGACTTTTTAATGATTGCCATTCTAACTGGTGTGAGATGGTATCTCATTGTGGTTTTGATTTGCATTTCTCTGATGGCCAGTGATGATGAGCATTTTTTCATGTGTCTTTTGTCTGCATAAATGTCTTCTTTTGAGAAGTGTCTGTTCATATCCTTCCCCCACTTGTTGATGGGGTTGTTTTTTTCTTGTAAATTTGTTTGAGTTCATTGTAGATTCTGGATATTAGCCCTTTGTCAGATGAGGAGATTGCAAAAATTTTCTCCCATTCTGTAGGTTGCCTGTTCACTCTGATGGTAGTTTCTTTTGCTGTGCAGAAGCTCTTTAGTTTAATTAGATCCCATTTGTCAATTTTGGCTTTTGTTGCCATTGCTTTTGGTGTTTTAGACATGAAGTCCTTGCCCATGCCTATGTCCTGAATGGTAATGCCTAGGTTTTCTGCTGGGATTATTATGGTTTTAGGTCTAACATGCACGTCTTTAATCCATCTTGAATTAATTTTTGTATAAGGTGTAAGGAAGGGATCCAGTTTCAGCTTTCTACATATGGCTAGCCAGTTTTCCCAGCACTATTTATTAAATAGGGAATCCTTTCCCCATTTCTTGTTTTTGTCAGGTTTGTCAAAGATCAGATAGTTGTAGATATGTGGCATTATTTCTGAGGGCTCTGTCCTGTTACATTGATCTATATCTCTGTTTTGGTACCAGTACCATGTTGTTTTGGTTACTGTAGCCTTGTAGTATAGTTTGAAGTCAGGAGGTGTGATGCCTCCAGCTTTGTTCTTTTGGCTTAGGATTGACTTGGCTATGCGGGCTCTTTTTTGGTTCCATATGAACTTTAAAGTAGTTTTTTCCGATTATGTGAAGAAAGTCATTGGAAGCTTAATGGGGATGGCACTGAATCTATAAATTACCTTGGGCAGTGTGGCCATTTTCACAATATTGATTCTTCCTACCCATGAGCATGGAATCATGGAATGTTCTTCCATTTGTTTGTATCCTCTTTTATTTCATTGAGCAGTAGTTTGTAGTTCTTCTTGAAGAGGTCCTTCACATCCCTTGTGAGTTGGATTCCTAGGTAAATGTAATCCAGCATATGAACAGAACCAACGACAAAAACCACATGATTATCTCAATAGATGCACAAAAGGCCTTTGACAAAATTCAACAGCGCTTCATGATAAAAACTCTCAATAAATTAGGTATTGATGGGACGTATCTCAAAATAATAAGAGCTATCTATGACAAACCCACAGCCAATATCATACTGAATGGGCAAAAACTGGAAGCATTCCCTTTGAAAACTGGCAGAAGACAGGGATGCCCTCTGTCACCACTCCTATTCAACATAGTGTTGGAAGTTCTGGCTAGGACAATCAGGCAGGAGAAGGAAATAAAGGGTATTCAATTAGGAAAAGAGGAAGTCAAATTGTCCCTTTTTGCAGATGACATGGTTGTATATCTAGAAAACCCCATCATCTCAGCCCAAAATCTCCTTAAGCTGATAAGCAACTTCAGAAAAGTCTCAGGATACAAAATCAGTGTGCAAAAATCACAAGCATTCTTATACACCAACAGAATTCTTACCTCTCCTTGCCTTCATTGCTACTCAGTGGTAAAGTTTTTCTACCTAAAATTTTAAAAATCTGAGCAGAAGTGATTAAGAACAGCTTTTAAAAAAGACAAAAATAGCTAATCAGACTTTCCATTTTCTTGTATTTATCAGTGGAATTTCCAACACTGGCAATATGTGAAAACATAGAGTTGATTATGTATTCATTTTGCAGGGAAGATACATATATGCATACATACAAATAAACACAGCAATAAGCCCTCTGTCAAATATAGGAGAAGATTTTTTGAATTAAATGTATTACATTTGTAATAATGGTCTTATTTGCATACATTTATTAGTCCCACTAGGCAACCAAATAAATCATATATGCAAAAATCCAAAGAAAATAATGATAATCATAAATATTTAGGGGACATAAAATATAAAAATAAACATATTATTTTCTTTGTACTTACAGGTTTTCTATTTTCTTCTGAAATAAGTTGAAAGTATAACTGTTTCTTCCAAATACAAATATTCTCCTCTTTTTTCCTTGATTATAAGTGTTTATAATGAAAATCTACAAGCCTAAAATAGAAGTTATTCAGAGATTTATATTCAGACTCTAGATGAAGCATGGTAAGGATAGTTCTATATATCCTATTGATAGTTCTCAAAGATATAATATTGTGATTAGCGGATTAGTTTTAAAAAAGCAACTACAACAAAATTCTCATCTTCTACCTTAATAATTACAAATACTATAAACACAATTTGTCCACCTTCTATAACGTTAAATCTATTTTAAATAATGTGGACTAACAGAAGGAAGAGTCACAACAAATAAGGGCTATCTCCTACTATAAAAAAGAAGATATGTAATATTGAATATGGAATCAGCCTTATACTAGATATGAGATAGGTATGGGAAAAGTCTGTGGTACAGTCCTTGCTTAAAGAACTTACAAAATACTTGAAGTGGAACTAATGTACATGAAACAATGAACACATGAAACTATATATTGAAAATTAAAATGTTTCACAAACTATGTGTACATATATTTACGTGTACAAATTTTTGCAATGCTTCTCTTTGTTCAAATAATTTTACCAATGGAATATAGAGAACACGTATTTACCCATTTTCTCATGAATATTTTTGTTACTCTGCTTTCCTTTATAGCTAGAGATCTCAAAGGCAAATGCCCACCTCGCTCTCAGCTTGTAGTAGCTAAATGGATAAATGCATGTATCATTCTCAACCTTTTTCTTGTATGTATACTTATAAATGTATATATTTGCATGTATGTATATATAATAATATAATATATTGTAATATGTAAAATATTTCCTGTAAAATATGGTAGTGGTAACAATTATAAAGCTAAAAATAGAAGCCATAATTTTACAATTTCTATTTTTTCCTTTACTTCTTGCGTTTTTTACACACATGTGCACACACACTAAAAGTTGAAAGTACATTGTAATATAGTTCAGATACATATCTTTAATATGGTATAAATTGCCCAATAAATACATTTTCCTTTTACATCAAAAGCTCTTCAAAAATATAAATGTAATGACTGGTTCTTATTACATTGTACAGACGTTTAATTATTTACTTCAACCACTTTCTAATTGATTGGCATTTATGTCGTTTTCCCCTTTCCATTATTATAAACAATGCTGCAATGAAAAAAATGCTGCCTTAATGTTTATTATTCCCTTACAATATATTTACAGAAGTAAAATTAGTGAGTAAAAGGAAAAGGATATTTTGGACATTCCTTAAACATCTTCTCAAATTGCTTATCAGAAAAGTTCTGCTACTTTGCACTCCCAAACTAAGAAATTGTTTTTCATTCATTTTTCACTATGGAAATTTTAAATCATATAATTTTCAGGGAAAGATATTGTAACTTAGTTCAGAAGCCAAATTTTATATCATGTTGCTCTAAGTATTATTTCTTTGATTAATTATCAGGTTGATATTTTGTCCAATATTTTATAATTTAATTGTCTCCTAAGCATCCTGGTGGTGAGGGAGAGATTCCTGCCTGTCCTGGGGTTATGGCGAGGGCTAAGCATATTGCACCTGACACTGGACAGATGACATCAACAGCAGCTTATTAGTCACATATGCTCAAAGTTTGGGGGAACAGGACACCACACATGACACAGAGCCACACGGGGGTTGTGCTGGGGAACACTGAACAACCAAAGGCTGTGCAAGGCTGGGTTTTTAGTATCAAAAGGTTGGAGCGCCCCTAGGTCCTACAGGAAGACTTGTTTGGCTCCGCTGAATAGTTCCTCAGACTGGCAGGTAACAGAAACCCCTCACCCCCTTGATAAAGAGGATTGTTTGGCAAGGGGACCTGATACATCAGAGCAGAGTTGGCGGGGGTGGGGCAGGGGGCGGGGGGAACTTGTGGTTCGACCCTCCTGATTTTACCAGAAAATTACGCAGCATCTAATATTGAGTCTTAACTATAGCCTTTAGATCACAATTAGCTCTGTTTCTTTCCTTTCAGTGACTTATCTACTTAACATGCAGGATAATAGATTATTTTTATTTTGTTTGTTTTGTTTTGCTGCAACACAGAGTACATAAAAGGGACCAGAGTATATACAAAGCTAGGGCCAGAATATGTTGGGCCCAGTAGACAAATAAATAGTCTAAGTTTAATTTGATAGGGAAGATTGGCATCTTGAAATCATTGAAAATATAGCTTCGTTTATTAAGTCTTTTTTTTAAAAAGATTTGTTTTGTTTGCTTCAAAGTTGAATTCTGAAGGAAGCTTAATCATAATGAATGAATAAGATACACAGAAGTTTGAATAAATAGGTTGGATCACCTTTGCTTGAGAGTATACTGCTGTTCTCAAATGTGATATATTAAATAAAGAGGTACTGAGGCAAAATATGGTGAGCTACTCCATGTGATTTGGATAAGTTATGGCTAAGAGTCACTTAACATTTCTCCAATATCAATTATATGAACATTTTATTAGAAAACTAATTTTTTTCACGTCAGCCAACTCTTAAAATAGAGTTAAAACAATTATGCCATCTCTTCTGCTTCTCGTGGAAGACCAAAAGAAAGTAAAACTGTCACCCTCAGTACAAGTGTGTTCCATCCTAACTGCTGGAATATCCGTGGAACAAAACAGATCCTACAAGTGGGTCTTAACACTGAATTTCTCCTTTCTCATATAAGATGGCTTTTTCTATTTTATTATTTTGACAGTGCAATTACATAGTATTCATTTTCTTTCTTTCTTTTTTTTTTTGTTTTGAGGTGGAGCCTTACTCTGTCACCCAGGCTGGAGTGCAGTGGCGCAATCTCAGCTGACTGCAACCTCTGCCACCCAGGTTCAAGTGATTCTCCTGCCTCAGCCTCCCGAATAAGTGGGATTACAGGTGCCTGCCACCACGACTGGCTAATTTTTGTAGCTTTTTAGTAGAGACAGGGTTTCACCATCTTGGCCAGGCTGGTCTTGAACTCTTGACCTCGTGATTAGCCCGCCTTGGCCTCCCAAAGTGTTCGCTTTTTCATTGTAAGCCTTGCTTAGGAATATATTGAGCATAAAGCTATGGAAGTAGAGTAAAGCTCAGATTGAATCTCTTCTGAAATCACGATTTCTTCCTGGTAAATTCTGGTGAAAATGTGGATTTATTTACTCAGTAACAAAGGAAGTTTTTATTCTCAGGGTGAGTTCCACAGAAACATTATCATTTCTCCTGACAGATTGCTTGGTTATTGTGTTCCTGCTAAGGAAGTGACATTATAGGCTTTGCTTCCAGCTGGAGGTAGCTTAGCACATTTTCTTATCCACTCTTAATAAAACAAAATTAAAGGAATGAATAATTGATTCCATGAGAGTGAAGACATTCACAATATTCAAGGATAGGAGGATAGATGGTAATATTAATGTGAAACATAAGCATACAAATGTAAAATGTATGTGAACTGGCAGTAGAAAAATAAGCAAGGGGAAATGGGATTCAATAAAGGAGTAAGGATTTATATTGATTTTCTAGAATATTTTCTTGACAATTAGAGTGATGATCAAAGGTAGGAAGAACAAGGATGTGAAAGTCAAGAGAAAAACGATGAGTTCTCAGCTTTTTTGTATGCTGGACATCCTACAGCAAGTTTCTAACCCTCCTTAGCAGTCTCAGCTGCTTTGTTGTAAAAATGGTATGAATAGTACGTAACTCAAAATGTTGTGGAGGTGGTTAAAGAAAGGCAACGCAAAAAAAGCTACGGGATAGTGTCAGACACATAGGAGAAACTTTGCAAGTGTTACTTTCTCTTTTCTTCCATCCCTGAAGACAATACTGAAGAGATTGAGAAAAATCAAATACACTAAACATAAAATAATATTGGCACAAAAACAAAAATCAAATAAAATCCATCTGTTCAAAGTCATGTGTTTTGAGATGTTTTGACAAAAGATCAATACATCCTATATAATAGAAAATTAGATGAAAATAAATAAAAGCAGCTCACTTTTTGCTTAAAGCATAATTTCAATGGGATGTTTGAATCTTGTTAGCCCAGTTATTAACACCATGAAATACATTTTTGTCGCTTCCAGATAGTAGTAATTATTTTTAATAGAGTAATGAAAATAACCAAAAATAACTGTACTAAATAACTCTTCAATGAAAAAATAGCCCCTGATATATATAGGAAAGTAGAAGCTGTTGAATTGTATTGAATACCTCCTTCACCGAAGGCAAATTGATTTTGATGAGAACAGGTTCAGCCTGTAGTGTAAAAATAATCTAGCATCTGGATTTCATTTATATACCTAAAATGACTCAGCAAATATAGAACTTTTCTCTCTAAATCCATTTTCAACTCCCTCCAAAATAGTGGTTAGTATAATAATTATTACATAATCAGGCATATAAGGCACTTTGTTCTATATAGATATGCATACCAAGATATAGAAATATTAAGCCAATTGCTTATTCATTTAACAGATATATATGCAATTCATATTTGGATTATAATGCTAAAAGCTATAATATTAAAAGATGCAATAATCTTATCTTTATAATGTTTGAAAAAGATAGATATAAACATACATAAAACTGTATGCAGTAATAGAGAAATGGAGATTATACTGACAAAACAAATATAATGTTTCCTAACTAATTAGTTGTGGCTACAGATTGAACCATGCATTATAACTTGTGGGCTGCCTAAGCCAAAAGCATTTTCTCTCCTTGGTCTTGACTGAGAAATGCTGGCTTCCAACACCTTTTTTCATATCTTGGTAGTTTCTCTTTTATTATTTGGTTGCAACTTCTCCCATCACTCTTCTCTAAAACTGAATGGGGAAAGGAGGGACTGGAGTGTGCTACCCTCAAACCCATACCTTCTGATTCTAAACCCAGTGAACTGGCATAAACCAGACAGGAGACTCACTGCCAAGTCACTTCTTTGGAGAAAGAATATGGGCTTCACTCTTGCTTTCCCTTATATTAGCTGCGTTGCCTGGAGTGTTTAACCTCTCAAAGCCTCATTTTCCTCACATGCAAAATGCAGGGCTTTTTTTTTTTTCCATTTGCTCTTTTATTTTAAAATCCAATGAGATAATGTAATTTTAAAGGCATTTTCTAAGAATAGAATACAATATGCATATATTATTTTACCCAGCCCATTTCCCTTCATCCCTACCCTCTATCACTGCTCAATCATTGCTGTATCTACTATAACACAAATGTCTTGCACATTTTTCTACCAAAATAATGTCTACATATGTTGTGTGCACAACAAATTTCTGAGTATGATTTTCATCCTTGTATTAGTTTTCTGTCACTGCATAACAAATTTAATGAGTTAAAACAACACATATTCACTATCTTGTCATTCTCATGGGTCAATAATCCAGGCATGGCTTAACTGGGTTCCCTGATCATGAACTTACAAACTATAATCTATGTTAGTTGTGCTGTATCCCTTTCTGGAGCTTGGGAGACCTCTTCCAAACTCATGTGGTTGTTGGTAGGATTCAGTCTCTTGTAGGTGTGGAACTGAATTCCCCATACTCTTGCTATCAGCCAGGGACAACTGAGCCCCAAGAGGTCTCTCTCAGTTTATTTCTGTGAGGTCCACTAACATGTGACAGCTTACTTCTTGAAGGCCAGGAGTAAATCTCTCACTCTAACCTCTTAAGATGGAATCCAATCTAAAATAATTATGGTAGTGGCTATCCATCACCTTTGCCAGATCTTATTGATAAGAAGCAAGTCACAAGTTCTGCCTTCACTCAAACGGAAGGGAATATACCAGGAAGTGGCTCATTGGAAATCATGATAGAGTATTTCTGCCACAATCCCATATTAAGTCAAGAAATCCAACAAAAGACACTATATTTAATTTTGAATTAGAATAGTATTTTTCTTCCTACTTACATTTTATATAAGGAAAACTGACATTTATTTTATCAAGCACATCATAGCTTTACACTAATGTAAGTTTACACCATTTTATTTCCATCATCGTAGAGTTTCATAAGTGTTTCTCAAAAAAAAAAAGAATTTTCTTTAACACCATAGTGAATGACCTCACCCCACGTCCTGGCCTGCCATCAATTTAGTATCAAGGCCAAACCTATAAAGTGACCCTATTTTCCAATTTTGTGACATCCAGTTTCATATCAAATAATCATTTTGTTTTGGACCCTAAGTACTGCTAAATGAAATAAATTTCCTTTTCATTGCCTTTTATAGAAGTATCCGGCAAACCCTTCAGATTTAGTCTTTATGCTTCTAATTTTGCAATTGTCTTATATAAGCTAAAATGAAGAAAAAAGAAAATCTTTATGTCATTACATGAATGAAGAATGCATTTGTGAATGTGGCAGTCCTGACAAATTTTCTTGGTAGGAATTATTCCAAGTCTATAAAGAGGAGAAAATCCTATGTGCTTTGAGTAAAATTACTTTAACAGCATGCATCATCTGTCATTTGAAAAGTGTGTTCCACAAAGCCAGAATACCAGTGTCATTTTTGTGTATTTTTTTACTCGTCTTCCTTATTTCCCATGCCAATGGTCATTTCAGTCATATGGCAGGCCATCTTGGACTCATCTCATGCAATATACTGTGAATATGGACAGGCTTTTGTACATTCTTTGAACTGTACATAACATTTTAATATTAATATTATTTAGATTACATTAGAAAAGAGGTGTGAATGCAAGTTCATGGAAATGTGAGATGAATTGTTCTCTTCAAATTTTTCATGTACATAAAGGATATATATTTAAAACCAGAAAAAGTCCAGGCGCGGTGGCTCACGCCTGTAATTCCAGAACTTTGGGAGGCCAAGGCAGGCATCATCTGAGGTCAGGAATTTGAGACCAGCCTGGCCAACATGGCAAAAACCCCTGTCTACCAAAAGTACACAAAATTAGCTGGGCGTGGTGGCAGGAGCCTGTAATCCCAGCTACTAGGGAGGCCGAGGCAGGAGAATAGCTTGAGCCTGGAGGCGGAGGTTGCAGTGGGCCAAGATCGCACCACTGCACTCCAGCTTGGGGAACAGAGCGAGAGTCCATCTCAAAATAAATTAAAAAATAAAAAATAAAACTAGAAACAAAAGGATGCTGAACAGCAATTTTCATGCCTGGAGCAATTGGCTGGATAAGAAAAAGCTAATAGGAATAAGTGAATTTATTATTGGAATACTCAGGATTAGAGTTCGATTAAACTTGGCATGAGTGTGCTGTTTCTGTTTTGATGTTGCTGAAAACTGTAAAATATGGATTGTTATTAAGGTGATTGATGTACATTGTTGTGTTTATAGGAATTTTTTTTTAAATACTGACCAATAATTGGATAAATAGTGAAAATTCTTTAGGTCTTCATGTTTGAGAATTAATGAACAAACTGTTTCATTTGATAGGACAAAAAGGGAAATAACTGAATTTTTAATATAATTTGGTTTACTTTCTTAAACACTTTTATGTATAATTTGTAACACAGAGATAAGTCAGTGAAATAATATAAAATTAAATTCTCACAGCCTTACTCAAGAGTGTAAGTAATGTGTAAACTACATAAAAATAAATTTAATGAACTATCCTTTGGGGACTTTTCTATTATTCTTGGTATTTTATAGGCATTATTATTTGTATAATCTGTTTTCTTCTTTAGCCCAACCAATGACATGACTGAACTACGCAATATATTTTTATTCTAGGATAACTTTATTATAAAAAATCAACACAGTTGATTTAAACTATTCATAAGATACAGTATGTTCATTAATACCAATTTTGCTTTCCGTTGATGCTTAGATACAGGATATGAGGGTATTGAAATTAAACAAGTATTTTAATTTTATCCAAATGTAATGTTCTAATTATAACCTCATAATATTTTAGTATATATTTTAATGTTGAAAATAAAACATTCTTTGTGATACTTTAAAATACCAGAGCTTTCATTGTAGCAGATTAATAAACACATAAAATTAGATGTAATCTGTAAATTTAAATGCAAATGTAAAGATTTTTCCTTAGTATGCTCATGTTTGTGTTGTGCATAGCTTATTTTTAAAGTGACTCCAAAGTAGCATATTTATCAAATACTTATAATGTACATAGAGACTTAAATTGTAATTCTCAGGTTAGTAGAGGTAATGCATTTTCTTAATGGTTTTGCCACTTTTATCATTGAATTTCTCTTTTCTATAAATATCCCAACCTTTGAAGGTTTTCTAAATTTTAAACTTCTCTATAACACTTTCTTAACCACAGATATGCTTATGTATTGTGAAATTACCATAACTTATGACTTTCTTTTTTAGTAAAGCACTTATGTTATCTGGAGTAACTATTGGTTTACATGTCTCTGTATGCTGTCATACTGTGAACACAAGAACAAGACCATTTTCATGGCATCTGAAGAAGCATTTCATCAATGTTTTGAGATGAAACAAAAGCAGAGAGATGACCTTATCTTGATAAAAATTTGTCAAAAGTTGAAAAACAATGATACTATACACATCACTTGTCAAGGGTCATTTACTTCTAAGAATTTCAGTTCAAAATTAATGTTGCTTCTTGAGTTTACAAAAAATTCTATTGGTATTCTGCTTTCTAGATTTGAGGAGTGGTGTTAGATTTTTATAGAAATATTTTTATTCATTTTATCTATATTTGAAATATAAAACATTACAGTACAACTATAGAAATGTGAAATCAAAATATCCAGATTCAATTCTTTAAAATTATATAAATTCAATTTCTTTTCACGACATTCAAATTAGGGTAGAAGCAGCTACTATAAAATAAACAAACAAATGTTATTTTTCCTGGGTCTATTTATTTTCTAACGTTCTATTCTTCAAAAATTTCTTGATCTTCTTATGCAACTTAATTGTCTACATGAGAAACAATAGCAGCTGGGCACAGTGGCTCATACCTGTAATCCCAGAACTTTTGGAAGGCTGAGGCAAAAGGGTCACTTGAGCCTAGGAGGTTGAAACCAGCCTGGGCAATATAGCCAGACTGGGTGTCTACTAAAAATAAAAAAAAATTAGGTGGGCATGGTGGCATGTAGTAGTCCCAGCTACTCAGGAGGCTAAGGTGGGAGGATCCCTGAGCCCATGAGTTTGAGGCTGCAGTGAGCTATGATCACACCATTGCACTCCAGCAAGGGCAACAGAGTGAAATTTTGTCTCAAAACAAAAACAATAGCAGCAATGTCAACAAGAGGAACAGTAATTGTTGAAAATTAACTATATGACTGAAATTGTTTCTATGTATATAGTCTCATTTCTCACAGGATTGTCATGACTGTATTATTCTATTTACCAAAGACATGAGGCTTATGAAGTATATTTCAAAAGCATTTTGAAGTCACTATTGTGAGACTATACATTACAAAATTAAATAATTATTGTGCCTGTGCTACTTTATTGAGATGGTTATAATTACAGTTTCTCATCACTGATCCTTTACCAGAGGGTTTTAGAAGGTGCTCAGCTACTAGAAATCAAATGACTCTAAGGACCCAACTACTTCACCTTCAAGACACTGTCATTTGCAGAATGAAACTATAACCAATTTTTGTAAGTCCTTCATGCCAATGAATAGATTTTGAAGTTCCACAACTACACTTTTTTGTTTGTTTTCTGTTTCTGTCTCCTATGTTGGCAAGGCTGGTCTTGAACTCCTGGCCTCAAGCAATCCTCCCACCTTGGCCTCCCAAAGTGCTGGGATTACAGGCATGAGCCACCACACTCAGCCTGCAACTACACTTTTAGCCATACCTCTATAAGTTATAGCAATCTTAAGTCTATTTGTGGATTCTCAGTTCTGATATGGACTTGCTGGGAAAAGAAAAACTATTTTTAAAGATATTCAAATAGAAGGAAAGCCCCAAAATATGTGTCTAAAGTATTGGTGTTATTTAGGATCTGTTCCCATGTTTGTAACCCATTTGTTACTATAGAAGGAATTCTGCCAAAGGATTTTCTTGTTTTAGTTTTACAACAATGTCAATCTTTCTAATTTTTATAGCTTAAAAATTCAAGATTGCCCAATAGTCACATTAGGTTTAAAATAATTAACATGCATTGCTTTCATTAAAACAGGGGTTTTCAACCTTGGCTCTGTTGACATTTTGGCCTGGAAAATCCTAGGAAGATACCCTGTGCATTGTAGGATGTTTAGCAACATCCCTGGCCTCTATCCACTAAATGCCAGTAGCATCGTTCCACGGTGACAACCAAAAATGTTTCTAGACATGGACCAATATACCCTGGGAGGAAAAGTCACCCCCATTTGAGAGCCACTGCTTTAAAAGAAAAGAGTTCAAGCCTGTAATTCCAGCACTGTGAGAGGCCGAGGCAGGAGGATTGCTTCAGCTTAGGAGTTTGAGACCAGCTTGGACAACATAGTGAGACCTTGTCTCTACAAAAGATAAAAAGAATAGAGCTATTCAAATATTTCATTATTTGTCATGATTAATATGTGTTTGTTTCTTGCCTTTCAAAATAATGGTCTTAAAACCACTATGCATTAAAGTGTACTCATGTGCCACATAATGTTTTGGTCAGTGATGAGCCATATATGCAACAATGTCCCATAAGATTACAGTACAGTACATTCACTGTAGTTTTTCCATGTTTAGGTATGTTTCATGCTCTATATACTTGCTAATTTTTAGCTATTTTTTAAAAAACACAGAAACTAAAAATATAAACACTTATATTTATCTCAATTAGGTTTCTCATAATAATATTATTCACCCTGGTCTTTTCATGTGGCTAATTCCAGAAGAACCTGTACTGCAAAGTAAGAAACAGTTTACTAAGATGTTCATCAGTCAAGAATAATTTTATCGTGTCTTGTAGAAAGTGTCAGGTTAATACACAAACAATATTAGTTGGTTAATTAAGGCTGAAAAATAAATAATTTATAAATTATGATCATGTTTTCACTTTATAAATTACAATTGTATGTATGATTGGATTGTGTCTTCTCAATTTGGAATAGTCATTACTGCTCTTCTATAAGTAAAATGTTCCTTAGTCTCATAAGTGAATTGTATGCTCTGGGAACATCCTCTCATAAAATTTTTACAAAATACCTAGTCAAAAATTGGCAAGTCCTGGGTATATTACTGAATATGGCTGAATTAGAAAAATTACTTGTTAATATCAGGTCAATCATTGGAGAGTCTACCAAGATCTCAGAAAATCCTATTTTATATTATCAAAATCAGAATAACATACTTTGGTTTTGGTGTTCATTTCCAATATTCATGTTATATTTAGCTTCTGGATACCAGACCTACTTTTTGTGCTCTCTGTAACTTGTGATAACTATTGTCCCTTCTTAAATTAGTACTAATAATTTGCTAATTGTTTAATACAGGTAATGGATTAGGAATTAGAATTGTGGGTGGTAAAGAAATCCCGGGACATAGTGGAGAAATTGGAGCCTATATTGCCAAGATTCTTCCTGGGGGAAGTGCGGAACAGACGGGGAAGCTTATGGAAGGTAAGAATAAGGAATTTTACAGTAAAATAAAATGAATGCACTCATATTAAATACATTTTAATTTAATATGCAAATGTTCTCATCCTTCTCTGTGTAGGTAAACCTCTCTCCTTATGGTTAGTTGTGAAATTTTGGTATAGTAATATGAAAGAAAACATGTCCACAAATATATTCATTTTATTTTCAATTGCATTGTCCTTTTGGCAGTTGGCTACAGAAGTATCTTGTTTAAGAAACACTAGTCAAAACTTTTTTACTGACTGGGGCAATTTTATTAAAAAACACTTTAGTTATCTGTGATAATGTTTCACAAACACCAAGAAAAGTTATATTGAAATTAGAGCTACAAAAAAAATCAAATGATCCAGTACACACTAAGGTTGGGTAAGCAAACTATGGATGGCCCACAGGCTTTATCCATCTGCTGCCTGCTTCTGTAAATACTGTTTTATTGGAACACAGTCATGATCATTAATTTACATATCAAGCCTGGGTGCTTTACCAAAACAATAGCAGAACTGCATTCATGACAGAGAATGTATGGTCTGCAGCATCTAAACTATTTACTCCTGGCCCTTTACAGAAAACATTTGCTAACCCCTGTACTAGGTGTGGTCTATTTTTAGATACTAATCGCCTCATTACATCAAAAGTGTTTTAAAGTAATGATCATTAGAGTAGGAGATAATGGGCCATAAAATATGTACTTAATCATTTTCATTCAGTAAAATATTAGACCTAGATTCTCAAAATACATAATGAAAATTTTCAATTGTCAATCAGATAGTATGGTCATTTCCATTCTCCAGATTCTCTAACATAAATATAGTTTGCAAGGTTTTGATGATATTTTTATAATGAACATTGTCACAAAGTAAATGCAACCTTTTTATTTTTACTCTAAATATAATATTATTTGAAATAAATGTTTTTCTGTCATTTCATAGTTTAATAAAATTTTGTCTGCTGTTGCTTAAAAACTTTAATCATGCTAAAAATGACTCACTGTGATTTTCTCGAATTAAATATATTGGAACCTACCAGAAAATGTCCCTGGACATTTTGATAGACTATTAGAATAAACACAAATTAGAAGCAGTATTTATTCATCACAATGTTATGCTGGAGCCAGGTTGCTCCACATCAATAAGATATTCTGTACAAATCTCTTCCCAACTTCAAATTCAGTAACATCATGATGATAGCTTGAATTGGCTATAGTGGCAGCATTTACAATGTGGAAATAGGCAAATGCTATAACTCAAACCTTTTTGTTTGCTTGCTTGCTTAATTATTTGCTTTCAGAATGCCAGCTTACCAGCACATCACCAAATAAATAACTAAAAGCATATTGTTGGCTGGGCTTGGTGGCTCACACCTGTAATCCCACTTTGGGAGGCACTTTGGAAGGCCAAGGCGGGCAGATCTCTTGAGGCCAGCAGCTCAAGACTAGCCTGGCCAACATGGAGAAACCCTGTCTCTACTAAAAAACAAAATACAAAAATTACCCGGATGTGGTGGCGGGAGCCTGTAATCCCAGCTATTCGGGAGGCTGAGGCACGAGAATGGCTTGAACGTGGGAGGCGGAGGTTGCAGTAAGCCAAGATCATGCCACTGTACTCCAGCCTGGACAACAAGAGTGAGACTCTGTCTCATAAATAAATAAATGCACATTATTAAAAATATTCTAATGGCATTCATAAAAGAGGAGAAGTTAGGAGAGCTTGCCAGATAGCTCAATGAAAGGAAAGACTATATGAATAAAGAAATAACAGTTACAAGCAAAGTACTTGGCGTATATGCGTTTTCTATGACTATAACCCTTTCACGCCCAATGATAATTTTTGGTGTTACAGTCTAATAAGGATATATAAATTAAGACCCATTTTTAAGGATGAGAGTGATAGGATCACTTTCCACAGTATACCCTAGAAGAAAAATGAACATGCTATTTTTATTTTAAAATAACATTTGCAATAACAACTGTGTCTAGTATCATTTGGCAAAAATACTTGAATAATTTATAAATAAAATACCGTGTACTTTTTTGGATTAACACCATGAAAATCAACAAATACTACAAATCAGCATGATTCTAAAGACAATATCAACGCAGTATATTCTATGAGGAAGTGATGCTCTCTGCACTTTGTAGTCTAGGTGGCCTTTATTAAGTTCATAAGTTTAATTTTAAAAATAGATATGATACCATCTCAAGAGAGAAAACAAAAGTAAATCTAAAATTGTATTTGTGATTTTACAAGCTCTAAGACTGCTACTAAATCCTTCTTATTTTATTTCGGAACTAATATTTTTGCAATTTAATTGGTTTAAGTGAGAAATCATTAAAAACTGTATGCATATGATTTAAGATTTTATTTTGATTAATTATGTTATTTATTCGTTCTCTCAAAATTTTGCCAAGGTGTTAAGTGAGGCCTTTCTATGAGTATAAATCCTCTGATTGAAGTCCAGTTCTTGTATAATCCAAATCCATAATTTGTTATTTATGATTTCCAGCTGTATTTACTCTTACAACATAGCTCTTTAATAAACTACCTGTTAATATTTCTATTAGATTCACGATACTGTCTTGACTGTCAATATTTAAATACTGGTTCTGAACATTAAATATTTTGGGGAATAATGTTAACATATGGTACATCATATCTTTTCTCGCCCTCAAAAAGGTTATACCTGTATTCTACACTACCAGGTGACAATGATAAAGGTTTATTCCTTTAATATCCAAAGATTAACTAGCTAGAAGTTTACAAGTTCAAATGGGTATTCACAAGTATTCACCTGGTTTAGACCAGTACATTTACTGGTACGTGTGTGTGGTGTATGTGTGTGTGTGTGTGTGTGTGTGTGTGTGTGTATACTTGTTTTTGTCTATAGTTCTGTGTTTAATTTATACACTATATCCTTCATCCTCAACCCCTTATGGATTATCCCAAAATTCCAAAGCAGTAGATTGGTTGAGATACCACCTTGATTTTTATGCCTGATGTGAGGCATTATCATGATGCCAATTATATATCACTGGAGGTTTTTTTTCCAATTAAAAAAATTCATGATTATTGATTTTTTAAATGTATTTGTTGAAGGCAATAAGGGTGTTGAACATTTCATAGTTTAAAGTTAATTCTTTCCTAAGGAAAAATTATACATATGTAAATAAATAGATGATGTGTTTATGTAATTGGATTTTTCCACCTGTTTAATGACTTCCAGGCAGACTTAGAAATTGATCATCTCTTTGATATATATCTTTGTTTTCTGTATTTCTGAATACAGAATTATATAGACTGTGCCCTTACAGATTCAATATCATCTTACAGTTTATTTGAACATGAATGACAACTTGGTTGGCAATAGAATTCTTAGAGTGTACTCTTTTCTACCCTAATCTACAAAGCTGTTGTTTGGAAAAGCTAGGTCTCCTGCTTTTCTGAGTTTGTTCATTTCTCTTATCACAGACTTTTAAAAATATTTTGGTATAGCTTTTATTTTTATAGTTTTATTTTGATTTTTAATTGACAATAATACCTGTATAGATTTATGAGTTACAATGTGATGTTTCAATGCATATGTACATTATGGAATGATCAAATCAGGCTACCTAGCATATAACAGGATTTTAAGACATCAGAGTCTAACATTTTAACACTTTTGCAGCACTCAGTGGCATAGACTCTGACTATGTTGGCTTTGGGAAAACAGGAGTATTTTCAAATTCCTTCTAGCTTTTGTTGTCTTGATGCATTCATTTAAAATATATTGAGCAATCATATAGGTTTTCTGATGTTCATAAGCCAAGTACTATTCTGAAGGTGCTGAGTGACTGCTCTGGTTATTTGATTGAAAAAAAGATTTTTATTCAATCTTTTTTTGAAAAATCTAGTTTCTAAACAAGTTAGTCTACCTTGTTACATAATGTAGGAGAATGTTATGTTTTAGAGAATTAGGAATAATTACTATTGCAAAATCATTAGATTATACTCAATAAAATGGTTTTAAAACACTCCTAATGGTATGTGTGCCATCTCCTAAAATAAAAAAATGCAGTTCAAGAACTTTACTATTAAAAATGTCCTGAACCAATTTTTTAGTTGTCAATCAATCTACAATGATTTCCTGAAAGAACTCAGAGAATCAAGTACTTGAAGGATTATAATATCCCAAAATCTTAACATTTATTTTCCAGTAACATTTAGTAAACATTCCTACCACAAATACTGGACAGAGAATAATCTTTTGCCACCTATTATTCTTTATTTTAGTTGCATAAATTAGTCTTTGTTCTGTAAAAAAGATGAAGACAAAAGATCTGGGGAATTTACAAATCTAAGTTTCTGAAGTGCTATTTCTTGCTATTTGATTTAGGATTACAATTTTAACAATTTTTTGACCAACAGTGTTGAGGCTGTGAGATGTTCAGCAATGTTGGAGTATTCAATGGTATACAATGTTGTCTCTCATTTTGGTCTTTGTCATTGGTATTTCTTGTTGAACTAGTTTGAGCATCTAAAAGTGTACTAGAATATATGGACTTTGAATATATATTTACAACTTTCATTTTAAATCTTTACCCTAGATTAATTATTATATACCTTTTTATATTTAAGTTCAATATAACCAGCATCTTACCTAATAGACTTAAAACAATAAATGCTTCCTCTATAAATAACTGTATTTTCTCTTGACTGTTTTACTAGGTAAAACCTACTGATTACAATTTTAGGAAGTTTTGAATTTACTACATGCTTATTCTTTAAAAATAACTATCTGCATATGTTCACCTAAGATCAATGTTTCAACCCTCTCCAAATTTGGGAAATTCATAATACAATTGTCAAGATCTCATGACGAAGGGAAACTTCTTTTTGACTCCGATACAGACCAGATTCAGGCCCGTCACAGTGGCTCACTCCTGTAATCTCATTGCGTTGGGAGTCAAGGTGATCACTTGAGCCCAGGAGGCAGAGGTTGCAGTGAACCGAGATTGTGCCCCTGCACTGTGTTCCTTACCACTTTGTGCACACATCTATTGTGTACCTTGACCTTGTCAGTTTTTTTTCCTTTATACTGTGTCCAGCACAATGCCAGTAGCAAAGATCCAAGCAATATATAAAGAAATAAGTGATTTAAAAAAAAAAAACCTTTGTTTTCAAAAGTAGGATACTTATTAAGATGTCACTCCTCGCAGGATTGTGTGAAGCAAATAAAACGATATGTGCGGTTTATACACTACTATTTGTAATTAATCATGTAAATTTAAGCATTTAAGACAGCATCAATATTTCTAAACCTTTCGATTATCTTTTTAAAATAGTATACAAAATGCAAAGTTACCTCTGGGCACATGTTCTCACAACCTTGAACTTAACTGCTCATATATTTACATACATTTACTTTAGGTTTATTTTTTCCCTCAGTGTTACTTTGCTTTAAATTTAAATTCAGATCTCTGGGATGGGAGGACAGGGTTGTTACTGACAGAAACCACCCCCCCAATCTAGAACTACAGGACCATCTTCCTGTGCAGTGACTGAGTATGAGGAGATTTTTCTCTGCCAGTTCTTCTTTAGTCCAGAAGATCCAAAATATTGTCTTTATTCTGTGGTTGAGCAAGGGTGAGGACACAAAACAGAGGAGTTTTAGATTAGAAGTTAAAATCTCAACTCAAAATAGCAATTACTATGTGGAAGTGTTTTCTGCCTGTTTGTGATTCATTTGCACTTAATAGTGAATGTGTTTTGCTCTCAGTCTTGTAAATTTTCATTGAAACAACTCAATAGTCGAATTTCTGCATTACACAGTAGGCGCAAGGTTTGATGTTTAAAATGCCTAAAACTGGACATGATGTTCCTTCCTTAAACTGAGCCTCTTCCCCAGTCAGCAAAATTGCCGTATAAGACTCACATAGCTTATTCCTACTTTTTTCTTATTTCACTTATTAAGATGCCCAGTGCATCACCTTACATCTCATTGATTCTAATGAGAGTGGAAGAGGATGACGGGAGTGTGGATGGGGGATGGAGTGTCTCAGCTTTCTCATGGTCTGATGCATGCTATTTAACACTTAACCAGGCGATGACCTGTAATTTTCATTAAAAAGGTTCGAATGTACAAAAAAAAAAAAAAAAAAAAACTTACAGAATAATATAGCAAACAGCCATGTACCTATCATACTGTTTCATTGTCTTACAATTTTACCATGTTTCTTCCATATTTTAAAAAGAAATAGGCCTCTATAAATTAGTAAAAGCTTCCTGTAGTCTCCCCTCAACTCACAAACCTCTGTTACTATCCCAGGATAAAATATCAGACTTAATTCGGGTTATACTTTTGCTTCCATTTCTTTGCAGTGTTATGTATGTATCCACAACTATATAAGATTCGTTTTGCTTATTTGAAAAATTTTATTTAAAGAATATCTTGCCACACATGTCTTTGTGCCACTTTTAAGTCACCTGAAGTTTTGGAGATTAATCAAAACGTACATGTAACTCTAGTTCCTTTATTTTCACTACTGGGTAGAATTCTGTTACTGTATGTCTCCGCTGCAGTTTGATTTAAGCATTCCCTGGTTATTTAGGACATTATAGTTTTGGTTTGCTTTATTTTTACCGCTTTAGACAATGCTATAATTAGTTTTTCACGTAGTCTCCTTGTGACCATGTGTAGGAGTTTATTCTACAATACAACTTAAATTTCTGTGTTATAATGACTATCAATCTTGTCAAATAATGTGGAAGAATGTTCTGTGGCTTCTTCAACTAGTTTGTTTTTTTTTCCAAATTTCTCTCCCAAGTGTTTCATACTGTTTTTACATTTGTCAGGGTCAAATTAGTGTTCTCATCTCTATACATACTTGTTCCTCTTTCTTTACATTTCCTTTTATCAACTCTGTTGTGCAATGGTTTCCCATTGTTGCTTTCATTTACTTTTCCTTCAGTAGTGCTGAGTATGATCATATTTTATTAACCTTGTGAGCTTGTGGATTTTTCTCATCTGAGATTTGACTCGTCTTTTTGCCTGTTCTTTCATTGGATTGTTTGTGTATTTTTAACCATTTTAGGGCATCTTTATATATTCTGGATATAATCCTTTGTCAAATATGTAGGATATAAATACCTTTTCCCAGTGTATGGCTTATATTTTTATTTTCTGTCTCTTTATTTTTTGTAAAATTTGAAGTTTTAATAGTCAAATTTGTCATTTTGTTTCAATTAAGTTTTGTAAATGTGTTGCACTGTTTAGGAAATTCTCCATGCCCTGAAGTCTTAAATATATTATTCTTTTTTTCTTCTAAAAACTGTAAAATGTTACATTTCAGAAATGTTCTTAAGCTCAAAGAATTAAGTTGTTTTTAATGTATCTGTGGTCCAAAGTAGAAAGTTCATATTTTAGTTTTTTTTTCCTTCTGAATATGTATAATCAGTTTCCTATGCACCATTTTTTAAAGCTTTATATTTCAGAAACTTTAACAGGACTTTTGTCTTGTTTTTTCAACAATCATCCCTGAGCCATCTCTAGAGTGGCTCAGCTCCTGAGGGGCTGTATGCTTCTGGGTCATTTTTTTTATTGGCACATAATAGTTGTACATATTTATAGAGTACATGTGATATTTTCATGCATGCATATAATGTGTAATGATGAAATCTGGATAATTGGGATATCCATCACCTCAAATGTTTATTATTTCTTTGTGTTGGGAACACTTAAAATCTTTCCTTCTTGCTACTTTGAAATATACAATAAATTATTGCTAACTATAGTCACCCTTTGTGCTATCAAACTCTAGAAGTTATTCCTATCTAACTGTACATTTGTCTCATTAAACAATCCCTCATCATTCCCCCCTCCACACCACCCATTCCAACATGAGGTAACGGCTATTTTATTTACTATATTAATGAGATCAATTTATTTAGCTCCCACATATGAGTGAGAACATGTAATATTTGTCTTTCTGTGTCTGGCTTATTTCACTTAACATAATGTCCTCCAGTTCCACTTATGTTGCTGCAAATAATATGATTTCATTCTTTCAATGAATGAATAATATTCTATTATGTATTGATACCACAGTTTTTACTCATTCATCTCTTAATGAACACAGTTTGATTCCATCTCTTGGCTATTTTGAATAGTGCTGTAATAGACATGGGAGTGCAGGTATCTCTTCTATATACTTATTTCCTTTCTTTTGATATATACCTAGCAGTGGGATCAGTGTATTGTATGGTAGTTCTATTTTTGGTTTTTTGAGGAATCTCCATACTGTTTTTTATAGTGGTTGGACTAATTTACATGGCCACAAACAGTGTATGAGCATTTCTCTTTCTTCAAGTCTTTGCCAGCATCTGCTATTCTCATCTCCTTGCCAGCATCTCTATTTTGAAAAGAGCCATTTTTAATGGGGTGAGGTGAAATCTCACTGTGGTTTTAATTTGGATTTCCCTGATGACTAGTGATATTGAGCATTTTAATGTATCTGTTGGCCATTTGTATGTCTTCTTTTGAGAAATGTATATTCAGATCTTTTGCTCATTTTTTAAATCAAATTATTTGGGGTTTTTTTTGCTATTAAGTTGTTTGAGTTCCTTATACATTCTACCTATTCATCCCTTGTCAGATGGATAGTTTGCAAATATTTTCTCCCATTCTGTAGGTTGTCTCTTCACTTTGTTGATTGTTTCCTTTGCCATGCAGAAGCTTTTTAGGTTGACGTAATCCCATTTGTCAAATTTTGCTTTTGTTGCTTGTGCTTTTGAGGTCTTACTCAAAACATTTTTGCCCATACCAATGTCCTGGAGTATTCTTTTAATGTTTTTCTTCTAGTAGTTTCATAAGCTCAGGTCTTAAATTTAAGTCTTTAGTTCATTTAGAGTTTATTTTGATATGTAAGAGATAATGCTCTAATTTTAATCTTCTGCATATGAATATCCAGTTTTGTCAGCACCATTTCTTAAAAAGACTATCCTTTTGCCAGCGTATATTCTTTGTGCCTTTGTTGAAACTGTGTTGGCTGTAAATGCATGTACTTATTTCTGGGTTCTGTATTCTGTTCCATTAGTCTATGTGTCTATTTTTATGCCATGCCATGCTCTTTTGGTTAGTATACCATTGTAGTATATTTTGAAGCCAGGCAGTGTGATGCCTCCAGCTTTGTTCTTTTCACTTAAGATTGCTTTGTCTATTCAGGGCCTTTTGTGGTTCCACTCAACTATTAGAAATTTTTTTGTATTTCTGTGAAGAATGACATTGATTGATATTTTGATAGAGATTGCATTGAATCTGCAGATCATTTTGCATAGTGTGGACATTTAACAATATTAATTTTTTCAATCCATGAACATGAAATATCTTTCCATTTTTTATGTGTCCTTTCTATTTTTTATCCATTGAAAAAATTGAAGAGGACACATAAGAATGAAAAGATATTTCATGTTTTATAGTTTCCATTGTAAAGATCTTTCATTTATTTAGTTAAATTTATTCTTAGGTATTTCATTATACTGTAGCTGTTTTAAATAGGATTGCTTTCTTATTTTTCTTTACTACTACTGTGCACCATTTTTTGAATAGTGTATTATTACTCACACTGATCTGCTAGTCCCATCTGTCATATATTAAGTTTTAAAAGGCATGCACAGATCTTTTCCAGGTTCTCTGTTCTGGTCTATTTTTCTATCCCTACACCGATATCACACTGTTTTAATTGTAACATCTTTATATTAAATCCTGGCATTTCGTAGGTGGATCCATCCTAGAGCCGTTTGTCAGGATGCTCTCGGAACAATTCTTGACCCTTTGGTTTTGCATATAAATTCTGGAATCTGTTTTTCAATTTTCATGACAATCTCTGTTGAGATTTGATAGTAATTTCATTGAAGAGACTGATTAATTTGGAAAAAAATTAGACATATAATCATGTCCAGTTGAGTCTTCAATAAGTTCACAATGCAGGTTTTTGCTCTACTTAGAGACTTAGTCATTGTATTCTGAATTAATACAATAACAAGAGTTAGGACATTAAAACAATTATCCATAGCAATTGTTAAACTTATTAACAATATTATATGGTTTTATCAATTTATGCCAATATTATATCTCCAGAAAAGGTAGAGTAGAAAATATAGATAAAATCAATTTTACTTGGTTAATATCATGGACTAAATCTAAACTTTTATATACATATCATTGGTTCTAAGCTTTATTTAATCACTGGATTTTTTGAACTAGTTCTCCAAATTAATTTTCATCCTAGTTGTCTGTGTTATAACATAATTGTGAAATACATTACCATCGTGATACTTTTAAAACTTCAGCAATTTTTGTAAGAGAACAATGAATCCACAAGGACTAAATATCATATATCCAATGAACCTAAAACAATTGTTTATATTGATAAGTTGTTCAACTTTGTTAATTTAATAAAATCTTTTGAAGATAACTTGTATCTATATTATTATAATTGATAAATTTAGAAAATTTTTGTAAAACTCTTTGGAGCTAAGATAGAAATATAACATTAAAATCTGAATGTGTCTTCAAGAACATTCTTAATGAATCAGTGGTAACACAGCATGGAAGAGCACAAAGCTAAAACCAGTGATATCCTATGTTTGCTTATAGATTTAGCCAGAGCTACATGGCAAGTAAGCACGTCCAAGGCCATAAGACTTGTAATGAAATGAGAGAAACTTCATTGTTTGTCCATAGGTATTCTGTGAGGAAATGCCTCTGTGACATGAATTATAGTTCATGCATACTTTTATATTCTTAGTTTTTAGTTGTTTCAGAGTAGGTGAGTGAAATTGGTCCAGCTAGCTTGCTCTTCTTCTTAAAGATGAACTGACAGGGTTTCTGGCAAGAAAATGCTGTTGGATGTAATGCTGAGAATCAGGGATTGAAGTAAGGATGAAATTAGCTGTTTTTGGAGTGGTGGTTTTGATTTTAGAAGTTGGCCTCTGGAATTCCTTGTCATGAAAAAGTCTTTGGTAGAAGAGCTAATTCCAGTAGCATTACTAGAGGACAGAGGACGCACTCCAGCATAACATAAGGAAGAATGCTCCTAGGCAAGAAAGTCTCTATTTCTGCTTATGCTTTTTTGGCATATGTTACAGATGGCATGGCAGTGATCAAGGTTGGAGATCAAGAAACACAGCACACAGATGAGTGAGCTTCCTTGTTCTTGTTCCAGGGGGATTACCAGGTACGGATTGGTCATTAGCATGAGATTTCTCAAAATTCCTTAAAGCTGGTGCGTTAGGTACACATGACACAGACCACATATCATGTTGATATGAAGATTTTCTAATATATATTTAGGAAACTCTCTTCTGTGAAGAAAAATACAAATTACTGGTCCCTGGGCTGATAGGTTCTAATATATTATTTTCAAGATGTAGTGATATCACACCACATCACGATACTAGTGATTAGATACATTGCCAGTACAAAGAAACATATTTCTCTTCTTTATCCATTTATTTTGAAATTTATCAGAGGAGAATTATGCTTACATTATAATCTTTGTGATAGGGACATGAAGGAAACTAAATAATGTCCTGTTTTATGTGGTACAATGCCCCAAATCCTAATTTGATTGCCTTCATCAAGGTTGACATACTTTGAGGTATTTCTGTGTTCAGTGATATTGCTTCATAAGGAACAATTGTTCCTACAGTTAGATTTCCGGATTTGTCTAACCAATATTTCTTGGAATAGACTGCACTTTTTCGTAAGCTTGGAGTGGTTACTTTGGAAGCAAGGATGCTAACCTCTCTTTTTAATATCCATACCAGATCTTCCACCAGCCAATGCTTTAGTATCTCCAGTGGTTTGTAGACAGCCATGCTTTTAGAGTTAGATCAGGATTTAAATTCAGATCTGGTACTTATTGCCTGGATTTTTTAAAACTTTTAGTACCCAGGTGTTCTTAGCTGGATAACTGGGATAATAGTTGGCAAAATTGTTATCAAATTTAGGAATAAGATATAGGAAACATAATGTCATGCTTAGAATATTGTAAGTAGTAAAAAGGCATGCACTACCACATATGCTAATTCTTTTAAATTTTTTGTAGAGACAGGAGTGTTGCCATGTTGCCCAGGCTAGCCTTGACCTTCTGTGCTCAAACGATCCTCCTGCATCAGCCTCCCAAAGTTCTGGGATTAAAGGCCTGAGCCGCTGCACCTGGACCAAAACTCTTTTTTTAAAATTAATGATGTTTGTCTTCCTTTTAATTTTGATATATGTATTCTTTTAGTTTCATTGAAAGAAAATACAGAAATAAAGAAATGCAGAATACATTGGTTGACTCTGCTTGCATTAGAACCAACACCATGACTAAATGGAGCTTACAGATTTTTCCCCCACTCGAAAGAATTCCAACTAACCTTCAGGTAGTTTCTAAGAGCAGACTATAAGCTCCTGAGGGCAAGACACTGTCCAGGAACTATACAGATCTTTTAAGGTTCTCATTTATTTTAATTAATTTTTAATAGTTCAGCATAGTTATGGAGTACTATTCCAGATACAATGATAAGTGCCGAAGTGGAAACAATAGCCTACAAGAATGCAGGTTTTTACTTCAGTCCTCAAGAAATTCATATTAAAGGGGTGTGTGTGTGTGTGTGTGTGTGTGTGTGTGTGTGTGTGTGTATAAAATTTCATTGAGAGTAGTGAAGGAAAATAAGATTCCTTTATTTTTCTCTTAAGCTACTTTTGTTTCCTTTTACACTCTACTCATTCCCCAAATCGTAGTCACTGTCAGCCACAGCACTTGAGTTTGCTGAATGCCATTATTTATTCATTCATTTTTTCAAAGTTTTTTTTAGTACATATTGTATAAAGTAATTTCTCTTCTTGGACATGTGAGGGCTTCAGTGAAGAAAGCATGGGTCTTACATTCTAATAGCTAAGACAGATTATAACAAATATTAATATCATATATAAATGTTAAATATATCTCATATAATATATTAAGTATCATATATTAGACGATAATAAACGCTAAGGAGAAAAATATAGCAAGGAGGGTGGGTATGGCACGTAGGAGGATGTGGTTGCAATTTGAGGTGAGGTGGTAAGAGAAAGCTTTGGCAAGTAGGCAAAAATTCAGTAAAGCCACCAAGGAGGGGAAAGAATGATCTGGGAGTTGTCTTGCATTATAGGCAGAGAAGTGACAAGGACACAAATATCCTGAGCAAGAGCATGCTTGTTGTGTGCCAAGAACAGCAAGACAGAAAGGAAGCCAACGTGGCTGAAACTGAGTGAACACGTGAAAGAGCGGATACCAAAAGTAGCAGGGGTCAAATCTTGCAGGCCATTGTAAGGACTTTAACGTGTACTTATGTGAGATGAGACGCAATTGACCTGACATAAGCTGAATGACGTTTAAATAGGATCACTCTTACTGCTGTATTAAGAATAGTTTTAAAGAGGTAAAGAGTAGAAGCAAGGAGAGTTGGTAAGAACCTATGTAAGTTAAGACCAAGGTGGGAACAGGGAGGTGTTAAGAAATAGTTATATATATGTATAATAGATATACATATGTATCAACACAATATGTGTATTTAATTTAGTTAATGAAAATGATCTCAATATGTTCATTCATTTATTAGGTATTCATATTTATAAGCCAAAATCCCTTCACCATTTTTTAAAAACTTAAATCCCTGCATAATACAGCAAGCCAACAGAGTATTTTGTATCTAAGTCTTGCATCTTATTTTAAATTAACACAATAAATCCATATATTTTAGTAGGAAATATACCATATAAATGTATATTTGTGGGTTTTTTGTTTGTTTGTTTGTTTGTTTTTTCTGAGACGGCATCTTGCTCTGTCGCCCAGGCTGGAGTGCAATGGCGCGATCTCAGCTCACTGCACTGTCTGCCTCCCTGGTTCAAGTGATTCTCCTGCCTCAGCCTCCTGAGTAGCTGGGATTACAGTCGCTGGCCACCATGCCTGGCTACTTTTTGTATTTTTAGTAGATGCGGGGTTTCACCATGTTGGTCAGGCTGGTCTCGAACTCCTGATCTCAGGTGATCTGCCCACCTTGGCCTCCCAAAGTGCTGGGACTCCAGGTGTAAGCCGCCATGCCCGGCATTTGTGTGGTTCTACAGGTGGCAGTTCAATTTTTTTTTTTATTTCTATCATTTGTAATTTGCATCTCAGTAGGACAAAAGGCAGCCAAGAGCCACAGTTTTAATGTTTATGAAGGAAAATCATTCTGTAATACTTCTTTATTTAAGAAAATTATGGCTGTATCAATATCACTTTATTTATGAGAACAAAGGTGAATAAAATCTCTCAATATTTTAGAGTGCTTAGACAGTTTGCATTAATAAACTGTGGAAAAAATGAATTTAAGTACTATATTGATTCCAAGAACTGATTCTCAGCAGTCCTATTTTTTCATCATGACAATATTTTCTGAAAATTTTATTTCATGTAAGAATTAATAATCAATTGCAATTTTGAATTCCTGTCTTATTTTTTTTAAATCTTAACCATTCTCCGGGCTTCCAGTCTCTCTGATTTTATCCATTCATTCATTCAGCAAATTGTCATTCACTAGTGTCTCCATTGTCAAAATAGAGGCAATTACATAACTGAATAAATTAAAGTATAACGTTTTGAGGATAACAGAAGTGTGTACAAGAAACAGAGAAAACACAAAAGAAACTGAAACTAACCTGCTGAAGTTGGAGGAGAAATGCATACATCCTCTCCAAATGGCAAGATGTTTTTAAAATAATGATCTAATTATTATAAACCTTTCCTTTTATGTCTTAATATTAGAAAATTAATTAAGTCCAAATAAAATTTTAGCTGTAAGCCTTCCACAACACATTCCAGCTATACAAACTCATCTTTATCCATTCTCACCTCCCATCTATACACCCACCAGCCCCACTCTGATCCCAGATCCATGATGTTATTTGCCTTCTGTGAGCATTTGTTCATGATGTTCCTACTCCATAGTAGGAGTAATCATGTCAGAAATTATAACTAATTGATATAAGTGGCCCAGAATTTAGTATTCTCTTTGGCACTTACTGACTAAATATTTGTGGACTTGATGTGATGTTTTATTGTAATTCAATATATTTATTTATACTGATTATGCACTTACATCTAAGATATTAGCTATAAAATAGCCAGAAGTTTATAATTAGATATTCTGTATAACTTAAAAATTAAAAAAACCTTTATAATACCAAAATAACTTAGATGAGGAATGAGGAGACCTGGCTTTTCAAACTGCCACCAAATGTGGTTTCTAAAACTATGGGGGTTTTATTGTGAAAATGGGGATTTGCTTACCCTATCTATTTTACTGGATTGCTGTGAAGATAAAATGAGAAAAAAAATGGGCAAAATAACTTTTTTGTGTGAGTCCTGTATTGGTGCTCCTTATTAATACCGAAGGTATTACCACAAGTGAAATGGGTTAAATTTTACTCCTTTTAACTGAAATAACCACCAATCAGATGGTATACATATGAAAACCCTCTATAATTCATATAGAACTATATTGCCATTACTTTTACAGTTGTAATCCTATTTACAATTAGAGAAAGAATTTCTCTACATGAATATTAGAAAGCTGGAGGGAACATAGTTAAGTTTTATTCTATTCAGTTGGCAGAAATTGCTGTTAAACTGTTTTCTTCTTAGTCAATTCTTATTTTTCAATGGAAAATCAATTATTGCAGGATATTGTATACACTCTAACATTGATAACATTTGAAATTGAATTCTATTTATTAAAGAGATTGATAACTTTTCAAATGGAATTCAGGGATCAAATGACATTTGATTTTTTATGTTATTTATTAAACATCTACCAAGTCAAAGTGAATTATTTGCTAATTCTTCATTGTGATATAAAGAACAGAATATTTGCACTTTTTATGAAATAACTTGACACATAATTTTATTTCTTTGAAGATTCTCTCAGGATGATAAAATTGTTACTGATATTTTTGTTGTTTGAACTGACTTCTCTATGTTATTTACATCTTTTGACACTTCTAATTATGAAAGAAATTGTGCATCAACTTTACCCTTTTAATTTTGATTATATCATTCATAATAATCATGTAGTATAATTGACTCCAATATAAGCAAAGTAAGCAAAGTATAACTTTTTAATTTTTAATTTTTTGGATAAATAGTAGGTATATATATTTATGAGGTACATGAGATGTTTTCATACAGGCATGCAAAGATAAACAAACACATCATGGAGAATAGGGTATCCATGCCCTCAAGCATTTATCCTTTGAGTTACAAACAATACATTTATACTCATTAGGTTATTTTGAAATGTACAATTAAGTTATTATTGACTATAGTCACACTATTGTGCCATCGAATAGCAGGTCTTATTTATTCTATTTTTTGTACCCTTTAACCATCCCCACCTTCCCTCCAACTCCCTACTACTATTTCCAACCTCTAGTAACCATCCTTCTACTCTCTATATCCATGAGTTCAATAGTTTTGATTTTTAGATCCCACAAATAATCGAGAACATGCGATGTTTGTCTTCTGTGCCTGGCTTATTTCACATAACATGATGATCTCCAGTTCCATCCATGTTGTTACAAATGACTGGATCTTGTTCTTTTTTATGGCTGAATAGTACCCCATTGTGTATATGTCACCTTTTCTTTATTCATTCATCTGTTGATGGACAGTTAGGTTGCTTCCAATTCTTTTTTTTTTTTTTTTTTTTTGAGGCAGAGTCTTGCTCTGGTTGCTTCCAATTCTTAGCTGTTGTAAACAGTGTAGCAATAAATATAGGAGTGCAGATATCTCCTCAATAAACTGATTTCCCTTCTTTTGGATATATACCCAGCAGTAGGATTGTGGGTTCATATGATAAATCAATGTTTAGTTTTGTGAGGAACCTCCAAACTCTTCTGCATATTGACTGTAGCAATTTACATTCCCACCAACAGTGAACAAGGGTTCTCTTTTCTCCACATCCTCATCAGCATTTGTTATTGCCTGTCTTTTGGACATAAGCCATTTTAACTGGGGTGAAATTATATTTTGTTGTAGTTTTGATTTTCATTTCTCTGATGATCAATGATGTTAAGCACCTTTTCATATATCTGTTTCAAAAAACCAATTTTTGGTTTTGTTGAGCTTTTGTATTTTTATCATTTTGATTTCATTTATTTCCACTCTGTTCTTTATTATTTGTTTTCTTCTACTAATTTGGGGTTTGGTTTGCTCTTGCTTTTCTAGTTCTTTAAGATGCGTCATTAGATTTTTCATTTCAACTTTTTTCTCTTTTTGATTTAGACACTTATAGCTATAAACTTCCCTCTCAGTACTGCTTTTGCATGGGTTTTAGTATGTGTTTCCATTATCGTTTGTTTCAAGAAATTTTACAATTTCTAAATTTCTTTATTGATCCACTGGTCATTCAGGAGCATATTGTTTAATTTCTGTATATTTGAATACTTTCCAAAATTCCTCTGGTTATTTCTAGATTTATTTCATTGTAGTAAGAGAAAATACTTGGTGATTTCCATTATTTGAATGTTTTAAAACTTGTTTTGTGACCTAACATGTGGTCTATCCTTGAGAATGATCCATGTGCTGAGGAAAAGAATGTGTATTCCGCAGCTCTTGGCTGAAATGTTCTATAAATATCTATTGGATCCATTTGGTCTATAGTGTAGATTAAGTCTCATGTTTCTTTGTCTGATTTTCTGCTGAAAATGGGGTTTTGAAGTCTCCAGCTATTATTGTAATGGAGCCTACCTCTCTCTTTAGCTCTAACAATATTTCCCTTACATATCTGGGTAATCCAGTGTTGGGTGCATATATATTTACAATTGTTATATTCTCTTGCTGAATTGACCTCTTTATCATTATATAGTGAACTTCTTTGTCTCTTCTTATAGCTTTTGTCTTGGAATCTACTTTTTCTAAGTGTAATAACTCCATGTACTTGAATAGTTTCCAAAATTCCTCCTGTTATTAATTTCTAGGTTCCCATTTTTGGTTTACATTGGCATGAAATATCTTCATCCCTCCCTTTATTTTCAGTCTATGTGTGTCTTTACAGGTTAAGTGTATTTCTTGTAGGCAACAGAACAATGGGTCTTGTTTATTCACCCATTCAGCCACTCTATATCTTTTGATCGAAGTGTTTAGTCCATTTACATTCAATGTTATTACTGATAAGTTAGAGCCTACTCCTGCCATTTTGTTGTTTATTTTCTGGTCTTCTCTTCCTCCTTTCTTTCCTTCCTGTTTTCCTCTAGTGAAGATGATTTTCTCTAGTGATATAATTTAGTTTTTGCTTTTTATTTTTTGCGTATATATCATATGCTTTTTGGTTTGAGGTTACCTTGAGGCTTGCAAATACTATCTTATAACCCATTATTTTAACCTGATAATAACTTAACACTATTTGCATAAACAAACAAGCAAAAAGAAAACTAATAAAAACTCTATGCCTTAATTTCATCCCCCCACTTTTTAACTTTTTGTTGTTTCTATTTATATCTTATTATGCTATGTCTTGAAAAGTTGTTGTAGTTATTATTTTTGATTGGTTCATCATTTAATCTTCTACCTAGGATAAGAGTAGTTTACAAACTACAGTTACAGCGTTATAATAATATGTGTTTCTCTGTGTACATACTATTACCAATGAATTTTGGACCATCAGGTGATTATTTATTGCTCATTACTGTCCTTTTCTTTGTGATTGAAGTGTACCCCCTTTAGCATCTCTTGTAGGACAGCTCTGGTATTGAAATCCCTCAGCTTTTTTTTGTCTGGGTTAAGTATTTATTTCTCCTTCATGTTTGAAGGGTATTTTTACCAGACATACTATTCTAACGTAAAAGATTTTTTTCTTCAGCATTTTAAATAAGTCATATCACTCTCCCTGGCCCGTAAGGTTTCCACTGAAAAGTCTGCTACCAGATGTATTGGAGCTGTATTGTATGTTATTTTTTTTTCTCTTGCTGCTTTATCCTTGACCTTTGGGAGTTTGATTATTAAATGCCTTTAGGTAGTTGTCTTTGGGTTAAATCTGCTTGGCCCTCTAAAACCTTCTTGTTCTTGGATATTGATATATTTCTCTAGGTTTGGGACATTCTCTGTCATTATCCCTTTGAATAAACTTTCTACCCCAATCTCTTCCTCTACTTCCTCTTTAAGGCCAATAACTATTAGATTTGCCCTTTTGAGGCGTTTCCTAGATCCTGTAGGTGTGCTTTATTTTTAAAATTCTCTCTTTTTTTGTCTTCTTGGTGTACGTTAAAATAGCCTGTATTCAAGCTCACTAATCCTTTCTTTTGCTTGATCAATTCTTCTATTAAAGACCTCTGATGCATTATTCAGTTGCATCTATTGCATTTTTCACCTCCAGAATTTCTGCTTGATTCCTTTTAGTTATTTCATACTCTATTAAATTTATCTAATAGAATTCTGAATTCCTTCTCTGTGTTCTTGAGTTTCTTAGCATTTCCTCAACACAAATATTTTGAATTCTTTGTCTAAAAGGTCACATATCTTTGTTTCTCCAGGATTGTTTCTTGGTGCCTTATTTAGTTCATTAGGTGAGGTCATGTTTTCCTGTCTGGGCATTGAAGACCCTTAGGTATTTACTGTAGTCTTTACTGTCTGGGCTTATTTGTAACTGTCCTTTTGGGAAGGCTTTCCAGATATTTCAAATGACTTGGTGTTATGGTCTAAGCTATGTCTGCTTTAGGGGGCACCCCAAGCCCAGTAATGCTGTGGTTCTGGCAGACTTGTAAAGGTACAACCTTGGTGGTGTAGCACAAGATCTGGGAGAATTCTCTGGATTACCAGACAGAGACTCTTGTTCTCTTCTCTTACTTTCTCCCAAACATAACGTCTGTCTCTCTCTGTTCTGAGCCACCTAAAGCTGGGGGTTGAGTGACACAAGCACCCCTGTGGGCAACATCACTGTGACTACACTGGGTAAGACCTAAAGTCAGCACAGCACTGGATCTTGCCCAAGGCCTGCTATAACCACTTCCTGTCTATTGCCTATGTTCACTCACAGCCCTGGAACTCTACAATTAGCAGGTGGCAAAGCCAGCCAGGCCTGTCTTTCCCTTCAGGGTGGTGAGGTCCACCAGGCCCCAGGTGGGTCCAGAAGTGCCATCCAGGAGTCAGGAACCAGAGTCAAAAATCTTAGAAGTCTACCTGGTGTTCTATTGTATTGCAGCTGAGCTGGCCCTCAAACAACCAAACGCAATCCTTCCCACTCTTCCCTGCCTTTTCAGAGGAGCCAAGCCTCACCCCATAGACACCATATCTCTTGTGGTTCCACATGAATTTCAAGATTTTTTTCTATTTCTATGAAAAATTACATTGAAATTTTGGTAGGGATTGCATTTAATCTGCAGATCACTTTGGTTAGTATGGACATTTTAACAATATTGAGTCTTCTGATCCATAGGCGCATAGTATTTTTTCTATTATTTGTGTCTTTTTTAGTTTCTTTCATCAGTATTATCATTTTCAGTGCATAGATTTTTCACCTTCTTGGCTAAATTTATTCCCAAATAGTTTCTTTTTGTAGCTATCATATATGATATTTCAAAATTTCTTTTTCAGATAGTTTGTCAGTGTTTAGAAGTGCATAGTATAAGCTGAGTATAGTATAGGCTGATTTTTGTTGTTGATTTTATATCCTGTAACTTTACTGAATTTGTTTATTAATTATAACAGTATTTTGGTGGAGTCTTGACTGTTTTCCATATATAACATCGTGTCATCTGCAAATAGACAATTTTAACCTTTTCTTCTCCAGTATAGATGTATTTTCTTTCTTTTTCTTTCCCAATGCTCTGGGTAGGACTTCCAGTACTATGTTGATGGAATTAGTGAGAATGGATACCAACATCTTAGAGAAAAACTTTCAACTTTTCTTCATTGAGTATGATATTAGTTGCAGATTTGTCATACATGGACTTTAACATTTTGAGGTATATTCCTTGTATACACAATTTGTTGAGAGTTTTTTGTCATGAGAGGATGTTGAATTTTGTCAAATGCTTTTTCTACATTTATTGAGATGATCATATGCTTTTTGTTCTTCATTTTTTTAATGTGTAGCACGTGTATTGACTTCCATATGTTGAAACCTTGTTGCATCCCAATGATAAATCCCACTTGATCATGGTGGATGATCATTTTAATGCGCTGTTGAATTCAGTATGTTAGTATTTTATTGAGAAGTTTTGCATCTATGTTCATCAGGGATAATGGTCTGTAATTTTCCTTTGTAGCATCCTTGTCTGGCCTTGGTATCAGGGTAATACTGGCCTTATACAATGAGTTTGGAAGTATTTCTTCCTCTTCAATTAAAATATTAATCTTTAATTAACATTTTTATACATAACAATTGACCATGTTGTATTATTTCTTGTGAAGCATACTTTTAATATTTGGGTTGTGATAAAACCTCTCTCCTCCTTTGTCAAAAGAAACATTTTATTTTCTTATACTATAGGATGAATATATTTGAATTTTCCTTTTACTCTTAAATTTTGATTGAGAGATTTCTTTCTTCTAACTTTCTTTTTCAGAAACATGATTTCCATTTTATCTCATTTTACACATGCTTTAAAGTTATACCTCAGTAATCTATGCAAACTTCTGGGTATTTTATCTGTCAAATTATGTTATAAAATGAAATTTATATTGTCCTTATATCTATGTACAGTGGAGATGGTGGTGGCAGTGATGATGATTTTGCCACTAGTTCAGATAGCATTTATATTTGTTAGGAGACACTTTCCTAGTATAAAGTGATATTTTATGTTAAAATCTATCATCTGAGTAGTAAGATACATTTAAGTAACAGTTAAAAAAGAACAGTACAGAATATATGAATATCATAAAGGTTATCAACATAACTGAAGTTAAATTATTAATAATTCAGTAAGAATACTTAAAGCAGAGGAGGCAACAGTTAAGGCAAGCATTTCTCATTCCTAAGTGCATCAACTACCCTAGCTTCCTAAGTCCATTCAATTAATTGTGGATTTCTACACAATCCATATAGTATTGGTTTAGTTTGTTATTGTTAAATGATTATGGTATTCATAAGATTTGATAGCATTTTAGTCTGTTTTCTGCTACTATGAGAGAATAGCAGAGACTGAGTAATTTATAAAGAAAAGAAATTCATTTCTTAAAGTTCTTCAGGCTGATAAGTCTAAGATCACAGTGCTGGCATCTTGAGAGGACCTTCTTGCTGTGTCATAAAATAGTGAAGAGGCATGCTCTTTCAAGTAAGCATACAACACAGAGAGAGTAAGGAAATCAGGTTGAACTCATCCTTTGTATCTGGAACTCACTTTTGGGATAACTAACCCACTCCTGAAATAATGGCATTAATCCATCCATTAGGGCTTGGCCTCATCATCTCTTAAAGGCCCTACCCACCCCCCAATACCATAACATTGGCAATTAAATTGCAACATGAGTTTTTGAGGAGGCGTTCAAACCACAGCAGACCAGTATTAATCTGTTAATATCATTTTATTAGAAAGTTAGTAAAAAACATCCATTCTGAGCATTCTAACAAATAAATTGTGATATTAAACTAGGAAGAAGTTATAAACTTATAAACTGCAATCTACTTCAAGTGAGATGATGACATTACATATCTATTATTGGATAACTCCCCATGTAACATTATTTTCTAGGGGCCAATCAAATTATACTAATATACTCATATCCCTTATTCTGCCTCATTCAGCCACTTTCTGATTCAGTCTGTTCCAAATAACACATAGAATGAGACATACAATGAACTGTAGCCATAAAGTGGCTTTTGGCATCTATACCAATCCTTCAAGGAAATACTGGACTGGATTGTTTTAGTGGTCACGGTGATTAGAAATCGAATCTTATCATGATAATCTTCTAACAGGTTGGTCCACAAATCATGGCTAATTGTATTCCCTTATTCACACTAAGTATGTTTAAAAAGCATATCTTTGCAACAGTCATATTTGAGTATAAGAAATATTACTTTTTCTGTAAATCAAATGTAATCAAGTCCAATCTTTCTTTCATCTGTTGGTAGGAAATTGAATTGCATTCATCATTTGGTGTTTCCTGCACCACATGCCTTGAGGAACTTCCCAGTGAGGGTATTACACATTCTAGAACACTGGAGTTTGGGCCTCTGTACATCAGTCCACGCCACTAAGAGTGCAATGTCAAAGCTAGCACACTTTCCTGATAATGAGTAGCTCCCTTAACTGTGCCCAAGTTTTCACAAGAGTAGTTTTGCCTACATTGAGAGTCACAGAATCTAGTGTTCAACTTTCTAAAGGCACCTCTTGGCAATTTTTATTGAAAAAATATGCCAGACATCTTCCATAGGCAATATAAACAAGCAGGATGCTGGTCCCTACTTCCTTTGGAACCTCCAACCACCATTTCCTCCCTAGCACTGAATCTGCACCTCCTATTCTTTCATCCTTCTTACATTATTTTTCTTCCCAGTAAGATTCAGCATAATTTTTCATCAATCTCCCTGGAGAAATACGACATTGTCTTCTCTTCTGGGAGTGAGATGGGGAAAAGGGATAAGAGACCCAATCAAATTTTATTCATTTCTGTCACTGTTTACTCACCATAAGTGATATATCCCACAGCAACTTTCTCTTCGTTCAATAATGTCTTCAGTTTTTGCATGTCCAAGCCTCCAAATAATATCAGCATGTAGGCAATTAATAAAATTTCCAAATTATCATATTATGTTGCAATTTAAATGGCATTACAAATAATATATGTTATTTTTGCTAAGTTTCACATATTTGAACATAGTTTGCCTTCAGGTAGGCTAGCATGTAGGCTTAGTTGGCATAAGTTGAATTAGTTTTTTTATTTACTGATACATGCATTGGCCTAGGAGATGGTTGGGGTTCATATTTCTGTACTACCATTCTGTGGGATATTAGACAAGTTATATCACCTCTTAGGTGTCACTTTTTAAATATATAGTATAACAGATTAAAACTACAGTACTTATAAGTATCTTGCTTACTATATAACATTAGCCTAAAAAATGGTTGTGACTTGAGCTTTTACAACACATTTGACGATGAAATCCTTTTGAACAATATTTTTATTGTTAACTATTAATACTGTGATATAAGTAAGAATCTGTTTATTTTACAATTATACTTTTTTGTGATTGGAGCTAAATCTATTTTAGATATGTGAGTAAAGAAGTCATTGACTCTAAATACTTTCAATGTACTCAGACCTAGAAAAGAAATACCAGTCAGCTCAGACCATTCAACTGTAGTCTTTGGTATTTCTTAAATTTCTTTTATTCAAAATGTGATGAAAAGTTTTAAAAATATGTAAATTTATTTCATTTTGGAGTTTATATATGCAAGCCACACTTTGCTAATTTTAATTGCTTGTTCTTCACAAAATTTGAGAGTGAAAGAAAGTACATGGAAAGTAAATTGTCCAAGATCACATCCCAAATCAATGAGAGTTTCAAATACAGAATTTACCTTCTCTAACTCTGAGCGATTTAAAAAGATATCCATGCTGTATAACATTTATCTAAAGAATTCTTGTCAACAGTCCTGCCCAAAAATGGAAACAGAGTATATTATCATAGCATATAAGTTTGCATAACAATCTGTTTCATTCATTTTATATTCAATATAAAAATACAGTGACTTAAAGCAAAAGAGTAGGATGATACTGCAAATCTCCTGTGTATGTATATTTAATACTACTAAAATTTGAAAGAATATTCATTTATAAAATTTGCATTAAAATTTTTAATGAGTTTAAAATTATATTATCTTTATATTATGAAGAGATAAGATTATGACGTATCACATGTTTTTTAAGTGTATGATGGAGTAAAATTTTGGTATTTTGCATTTAAATCAACTTTGGGTTAGTGGCATTAATGATAAATATTTGTCTGCTTGGCATGTAGATTTAAACCAAATTTAGATTCAGACTGCAGATTGGATGTCCCATGCAGAGTTAACCAATCCAAATGTTACAAATATAACAATGTAACAATGCCGAGAGAAAAGAAACTCAGTAAGGGGGACACCATTGGCACCCAGGGGAGCAAAGACAAAGCCAAAGAACCTGGACAACTGCCACTGAGAGGGCCATGAGAGGAGATGTGGGAAGTGCAAAAAAGAAAAATTAGATGACATGATTTCTATGCTTGGGGAAGTTTTACTGTATATGTCAAGAACAGCTATAGATAAGGAAAATAATTAAGAACAAAATGGAAGTTTTAGGATCCTAAAGTATTTTTTAAATTTCTTATATAAACCTTCAGCTCAAAAAATGCATATTTACAAGTTGTAAACAAGCAGCTGTTTTGTGTTTCCCATTCTGTCATATTGTATTCTCTATCATAGGATGGAAATAAAACTAGAGCAGTCACCTAGCAAGTATAATCCCCTTGAGGGAGTCAAGGATGAAGGAGGATTAACCAACTTGCTCAAGGGCACAACAACTAGTAAATAACCAAACTACATGTGAACACAATTCAATTAGGGTGAAAAGAACATGTCAACAGTCAGCTACCAACAGCAAGGTGGCTCATAAACCATATTTCTGATAAAGAAAATATTTATCTATATAAAAATAGTGTGTATTCTGTTTATTGAGAGATAGGCAAATTTTAATTTTTAATGGTAAATATTACACAGAGCTCTATTTGAAAGCCTTATTCCTATAGTTATTGGGTTTAAAAAAATTATAGTTTTTAAACCAATTAAGATTTCATTTTCAATAAACGGAAATTCAGAGTACCTTCCTTCCAGTACATCTCAAGAAACAGTGTCCTAGTTAATAGCAATTGTTCTTATGCCCTTATTCAGGTTGTTATGTTATTTTAAACTCACAACTCATGTACATCAGGGAAACAGAGTGTGTCTAAGGGTACCCATAGAATAGGATCTGGAGAATGGTGAGGAGGCTAGAAGGCAGATTGAGCCTGCTTTGATGAAAGTAGGCCCATTTTTATATATTTTGTATATTGAAGCTCTATTTTAAGTTTTGTTTGAACCATGAGTACAAAAAATAAAAATAATAGCAATAATAATTTAAAAAATATCAATATTATTATGAGATTAGCTCTTCAACACAACACTTTTCAACTTCAAAATTTTATAAATGGGTAAAGAGATTGTACCTGTATACACCATGGAATTCTATTCAGCCATAAAAAGGAATGAGATCTCATCATTTGCAGCAACAGGGCTGGAATTGGAGGTCATTATGTTAGATGAAATAAGCCAGTCATAGAAAATAAAATATTGCGTGTTCTCACTCCATATGTAGGAGCTAAAAATGTTGATCTCATACAGATGGAGAATAAAATGATGGTTGCCAAAGGCTGGGAAGGATTTTAAGTGAGGCATGAAAAGAGGTTGGTTAATGGGTACAAAAATACAGTTGGAGAGAATAAATAAGATCCAGTGTTCAATAGCACAGTAGAGTGAATATACTTAACAACAGTGGATTAGTCAGGGTTCTCTAGAGAGATAGCACTAATAGGATATATGTATATATGAAAGGGAGTTTATTAAGGAGAATTGACTCACGATCACAATATAAAGTCGCATGATAGGCCATCTGCAAGTTGAGGAGCAAGGAAACCAGTAGTGGATCAGCCCGAATCCCAAAACCTCAAAAGTAGGAAGCCAGCAGTGCCCAAAGGCCCAAGAGTCCCTGGCAAACCACTGGTGTACATCCAAGAGTCCAAAAGCTAAAGAACTTGGAGTCTGATGTTCTAGGGCAGGAAGCATCCATCACTAGAGAAAGATGAAGGCCGGAAGACTCAGCAGGTCGGCTCTTTCCAGCTTCTTCTGCCTGCTTTATTCTAGCCACACTGGCAGCTGATTAGCTGGTACCCACCCAGACTGAGGGTGGGTCAGCCTCTCCCAGCTCATTGACTAAAATGTTAATCTGATTTGGCAACACCCTCACAGACACACCCAGGAACAATACTGCATCCTTCAATCCAATCAAGTTGACACTCAATATTAACCATTACAAATAGTTTATTGTATATTTCAAAATAAATATACTCAGGAAAATATACCCTAGTTTAAATCTCTTATTATGACTGAGTGTATCTCCTTGTTCTGTAAATAAGCAGGACACTATTCAAATACTAGTTTTTTCCTTTACCAAAGATTCCCCCCTTCCTTTCTTTTTACTCCTTCCTTTCTTTGATCCTTCTTCTTTCCTTTCTTCCATCCTTCTTACCTTTCCCCCTTTTATGTTAATATATAAATAGATCAAAATTGTAAAATATGAAAAATATATAAATTTAAAAAATAAAATCCACTTCTCTATCTATGTCTTTCTCATACATTAACACTGCCTAACATTAAAATGAATGAGCAATGAGTATAATTGATTTGGACAATTGTATTGAACCCCACTTGCAAGATGTGTTTGCTGTTGAGTCCGCCAGGGGAGATGGCCATGTTCAGCTGATCTTTTGCTGCTGCTGCTAGCGCTTTATAGAAGACTCCTGAGAGTGATTGTTCAAATTTGGAAAATTAACCTATAGTCGTGATTAATAATCTTAGTATGGAAAAGATAGCAAACAAATTACAAATAATTTATACTACACATTTTTAAATTAGGTTTGGGCCTTTGTTTTTTTTCAAGGTCTGCTCCTGCATTTTTTTCATTTCTTTATTCATTTATTAACACATTCATTTTCCTCTATCTTATTTTCCCATTCTGCTCTCCCTTCTGTGAACAACTATTATAATTTATGAGATGCTTGGTATTTATTCATAAAATATGTAATGATTTATTTTGTGCGCGTGTTATTTAAATCAACATAAATAACATTGCCCTATAGGTCAGATCCTGTTTCTCACTTGTTTTTAACTTGGCAAAGACTTCAGGATGGATCCACCTTCTGGTGTTAACACCTGGTATGGTCTGTTTCTTCCAGCCTCTGCCAAGTATTTTCATCGTGAGCGTTCACAGCACTCTCAATGCTCTCAATGCCTATTTCTCTTGATACCTCCACCTCCTCACAAATACATACCCACAAAGAATTTTTAGGTGATAGAGTATGCATATGCTTAATTTAACTACATTCTGCCAGATTGCCTTCCAGAACAGTTGCACTCATGTGCATTCTCATTAAAATAATTACATGTTAATAAATTGTAAATAAGGGGTTGTTTTATCTATTTATAGTCACTCAAGGTCACCAATCCCACATTCCAATCAACACATAGCATTTTATGGTTTTCAAATATGTCCCAATATGATGACAGTTAGGTAATATATTATGGCTTCAATTTGCACTTTCTAATGACTAATGAATCTGGGGTTTTCTTCATATACTTGCAAAAGTTTTGGAACTTCCTCCTGTGTGAATGATCTTTATTTTACTAATTGCTTAGATATTTCCAATTGTTTTCTAGTAGACTATCATTTTTATTAATTTTTATAACACCATAAAATGTTAGACATAAGCAAAGGTGATGAATTGTGTAGTGCCTACCACATATGAAGTGTTAGAAAAATACATGTGGAATGAATAAAATGAACAGACGTCAGGAGCTTTTGTGTGGCATATGTTTGGATGTAGAGTAACCTGTAAGATTTTTAACTAACTGAATAATTTTAGTCAGTAAGATGTTTTTAATGTGATGGTAAATATTAAATATAGATCAAGAAATAACATGAAATTTTGTATTATAAAGAGAGGAATAGCTTTTGCCCATTTAAGGAGCATACAATATTAAGTAATCCTAGAGGTTATGAAAACATATATTTGATAATGTTTTATGTTAATACTAAGTTCTTGAATTACCTAATTATTGTCTTTTTCAGTGTTTAGTAGCCTATTAAGCAAAAGACTTTGCAACAAATCCTATCATCGATGCTACATATTCAGCAAAACTCCAGACTGTCTTAATTTCCTATTAAAAGCTATTAAAGGCCAGGCATGGTGGCTCACGCCTGTAATCCCAGCACTTTGGGAGGCTGAGGTCAGTGGATCACTTGAGGTCAGGAGTTCAAGACCAGGCTGGCCAACATGGTGAAACCCTGTCTCTACTAAAAATGCAAAAACTAGCTGGGTGTGGTGGTGGGTGCCTGTAATCCCAGCTACTCAGGAGCCTAAGGCAGGAGAATCACTTGAACCCGGTTGGCAGAGGTTGCAGTGAGCCAAGATTGTGCCACTGCACTCTAGCCTGGGTGATAGTGCAAGACCCTGTCTCAAAAAATAAATAAATAATAATAATAATAAGCTATTTAAATAGGTACTTTCAAGGAATTTAAGTCTCATCTGTGTACTTTCATACCTGAAATTTGTAGTAATTTAAATGTAAAGAAAATATAAATGTTTACTTATAATACTAAATAATACATATCATAATTCACATGGGTAATATTTTCCAGAAAATCTTTCTAAAACGCAGTGTGAAAAGCTGTTTTGAGACTAAAAATGCTTATATTCAAACCTATTAAATGACAAGATACATTATTGAACATCCACAGATCATAATAATTTTCAACAAATTTTGCATGCATTTTAAATAGTTTATATAATGTTACAATTAACAAATATTTTTCATATATATTCGAAATGCCATATTTAATTTTCACAACTACTAGAACCTCTTTTGAGATAAATAAGGAGCGATTTGTTATACCTGTATATCATTCATTATTTTAATATGGCTCATAGAATTTGTAGGAAGATAGACAATAGAAAAGGAAAATATTATTAAATGACTGTGTTCAGTGGTCATCTTCCCTATGGTGTCTCACTGTAGGCAACAAGCAATGATAAAAGAATTGTCCCATTCTTTTGAACTACAGCACTGAAACAACTAGGGTGGGAAACTGAGGTGGCGCAAAAAGAATTTCCATTGGTGCATTGTGGTATGGAGCAGATCATGTAGTTTATGGTGTCAGGTGTATATCCAGGCGAGACCCTAGTTATCTGTATAATTTTTTAAGAGATTTTATTAACCATACTAGTTCTTTAGAAGCATTTTTTTAATTTTACAGGATAATTGTTTTGTAAATTTGCCCTTTTATTTTGGGATGTGAAGAATGAACAGGTAAATTCAACAGAAAAAGCATGAAAATATGTGACTATTCCTTTTCATAGTATGTGCTCCTGCAGAAATGTGACAATGAAATTTCTGAAATATAATAACTTTAATTTGATTGAATTCAAAATCATCTGTTTATTAATGTACTCTTCCTCCTTATTTAAAAAAAGTGCTTTATTTTCCTCTTTCAGCGTGCTATATTTTTATTTAGTGTTGTTGTCACTGTCTTTTACATAATTTTCTCATTTTATATGTACAACAGCCTGGGATTGTTGAAATAAACCTAAGGCCCATCTGAAGATAAAGTTTCCTTGGAGTAAGTTATAGAAAAGTCATTCTTGTTTGTGTTATTGTGAGCCTTTTTATGGAATTCTTTTACCATTTGACTATAGTGTAAAAGTTTTTCCTTTACTTACTTGCAACTGGTAATATGCTTTCTAATATATATCATAATCATCAAAACTTTTAAATATACAATCATGCCATGTTTAGAATTTCCCATTGGAGCCAATGATGATCAATAGGTAATTTCACATAGGCATCTGTGAAGCTCATTAAAAACCTAATGGTTCAGGCCAGGCACAGTGGCTTATGCCTATAATCCCAGCACTTTGGGAGGCTGAGGCAGGCGGATCATTTGAGGTTAGGAGTTTGAGACCAGCCTGGCCAACATGGTGAAACTCTGTCTCTACTAAAAATACAAAAATTAGCCAGGCGTGGTGGCGCACACCTGTAATCCCAGCTACTTGGGAGGCTGAGGCAGGAGAATTGCTTGAACCTGGAAGGCGGAGCTTGCAGTGAGCAGAGATTACACCACTGCACTCCAGTCTGGGCGACAGAGTGGGACCTGTTTAAAAAAAAAAAAAAAAAAAAAAAAAACTAACTAATGGTTCAACAACATAATTGTGGTATATAGACATTTTTCTCAAATAAAGCTGGTGAAGTTCACAAATATTTGAGCACTATCTTGGATGGGTTCATCTACTGTACCCAGTTCACATAGCTGCATGTCAGGACAATGTGAATCATGCCACACGTGGACCCCTCAATGATTTTGACAGGTCATATAAAATGGACCAAAGGAGCTAGATGTAAAATATTGAAATATTAATTATGTTACACTTTTCTTTTTTCTATGAAATTATCTTTCTAGATAGAGAGGAAAAATGAAATGCCCTGACCAGGTCAGGCCAGGCCAGCTACATAATTTACAAAACCCAGTGCAAAATTAAAATGTGGGTTCCTTGTTCAAATGTTACTAAGAATGTCAAGATGACAACAGCAGAGCATTAAACCAAGCATAGGCCTTTCTGAGCACAGGGCCTTGTACTAGTGCACAGGTCACAGACCCCTGCAGCTGCCCTTCCTATAACATTCCTGCTATTCCTCAATTCAGGGATGTCTGGCATACCGTGAAGAAAAAGACACGAAGTGGCATTCTGTTTCATCTGGACAAAATAGAAGCTACAACAGTTTCTGAAATGGAGAAATCCAAATGACTTTTTTCTACTGCTCCCATTTCATGATAAAGTACCAAATACATTCTTCTAGTAGCTTGTTCCCCGCAGGAAAATTATATTGGGGTTTCTAATTGTTTGTTTGTTTGTTTCCTATACAAAATTGGTCTGAGCAATATATATTCAATAATGTTTTTTATGGCAGTGTGAACAGAATGCATGCGTTTGATAATATTACACAGATTTTCAAAAGCAAAATTTTGCATGTTGTATTAAATATATTTTATGTGTTCAGGTAAGTTAATGAGATCAAACTACATAATGGTTTTGGTATTAATGTTGCAGAGAACTTGGAACTGATGTTCTCTAAAATGGTGTGCTGAGTTGACTTCTAAATGCAAATAAATGTCTTCAATGCCATATGTACCCAGACTAGAGATAGCACACGTTTGATTTTATATTCAAATTTGTCTTTCTAGGGATGCAAGTATTGGAATGGAATGGAATTCCCTTGACTTCTAAAACATATGAAGAAGTTCAGAGTATCATTAGTCAGCAAAGTGGGGAAGCAGAAATATGTGTAAGACTGTGAGTTTTTCCCCATCTTTCTGTTTCCATTTTTTGGCTATCCATGACTCTTTTAATTTAAAATTGTTAAGGTGGAACCTTTGCCAGTTAGCAAGATTTTCTGGAATTATAAAATAAAGTGAATCAAAGCCTAAAGCATAGAAAGAATTCAGCTAACTTAGTTTCTGATTGTGTCAACAGCCTCTTCCCTTTCATGCTTTTATGGAAACATGCTTCATTTAAATGAAAGCCTGAACCCATTTAGATTTCATGGATATGTATTTAAAAATGAACTTACATTTAATTCATAAAGATTTCACCTTAAATAATCATTTTTATCAGCTCTGACTTTTAACTGCATTGCAAATATATATTGGGTTAGGATGGTAGGCATGCTTTGGAGTTGCTTTATATCATTAACCACTTCTCATTTACCTATGAAAAAAATTAAGGGTAGTTGGAAAAAAGTGCTCTTTGTCTCAGATTTCCTCAATATCTTTCTTAATGTTTTGTTTTAATTTTTAGGGACCTCAATATGCTATCAGATTCTGAAAATTCCCAGCATCTGGAACTTCATGAGCCACCAAAAGCTGGTAGGTAAAAGAAATCTAGTTTCAACTGTAAATAAAGAGATAGAAATAGAAGTAATTGCAGAGGCAGATGTAATTGTAGATGAAGATGTAGACATAAACACAGATATAGACAAATATAAAGTTATGGATAGATTTTTTTATGTATTTATATAATTATAAACAAAATCTAGGGCATTGTAGCTACAGTGTTAGCATTCTGGGGAAATACATATTTGCATGTTAGTCCCCTTAAACAAGTTCACGTAAAATCCTTGCTGCATGAGTTCACAGTTTTAATTCTTTAAATATGAATTCATCCTGTGAAAGTAATGCTTGGAGCCATTTCATTTTGGTTTTACATAATTTTTAGAGCGTACTTGATTCTTTTTAGAATAACTGGGTTTTTGAAAAAATTATTCCTGAACTCTTTCATTGCCTTTTTATAGTAAACAAAAATCAACATGTAATTTCATAAGTACATGATGAGATAGATTTAACTCTTTCTTGAATAACAAATATAATCTACAAATTTGTTAAATCCATTGTAAGATTAAAAACATCACTTTTTCCTATGTTTAATAAATTTTGTTGAGCACTTCCTACTCTGACAGCCACAATTCTAGTAGTCTGGGTTATTGTACTAAGCAGAATAGACCAAGTGCTATACGAATTTTAATACATTTGTAAATATAAATAAACCCATTAAAATTTTCCCCTTAGAAAATTTTCCCCTTAGAGAAAGAACTATGTAAAATTTAAGGAAGGAAAAACAGCTAATCATACAAATTAAGTTCCAATGGATAAAATAGGATATTGCATCATTCAAACAATTCTTTATGTAAAATATTAAAAACATTTTTCTGAAGATGCAACGGGAACTTCACTATTCCTCTGTAATTCAGCATTATGTCACTCTTCTCAGAGCCTTGTAGACTTCCTTAGAAATTGATACATAAAAGTACAATAGAGTTAATTTCATTTTTAAAGTTTAGCTTATTTTATAGGTAATGTTTTACCTTTGTCACCTAGAACTCACATAGTTCCATGGTATAAAGTACCTATGAAATGGAGAAGTATGTAAATCTCTTTCATTTTGTTGTAGTGGATAAGGCGAAATCCCCAGGGGTTGATCCTAAGCAGTTGGCAGCAGAACTCCAGAAGGTTTCACTACAGCAGTCACCGCTGGTTCTGTCATCAGTTGTTGAAAAAGGATCTCATGTTCATTCAGGTCCTACATCAGCAGGATCCAGTTCCGTTCCCAGCCCTGGGCAACCAGGGTCCCCCTCAGTGAGCAAAAAGAAGCACGGCAGCAGCAAGGTGAGGATTGTTGATGTGACCTCTGACCCACTTGTTTTCTAGCTCTTTATTCAGCATAGAGACAGAAAATAAAATATCATTTTCTAAAGTATTTTTCTTATGATTTCTCATTTCCAGATGATCTATCAAAACAAGAAACATTTTTTCTCTTCTGAGTACAAAACTGATCAAGATGTATCAAGATGATGTATTTCTACATCTTTTAAATATTTCAGTAGTTATTATGAGGAACTTGAAAAATGTCTCTGATACTTTATATTTTCTGGTTCTCTTTGTTGTTGCATGAATCTGAGATACGTATATAGAATATTAGCTTTGCATCTTTTTGGAACAAAAGGTACATATTACATTAGATTTTATAATTAAGTAAAAAGTAAAAAGGACACAGTGATAAAGAAAATTTAAGACAATAACAAACAAGGAAAACCAGTAACATGTTATCACTACTTTGAACTTTATCCTCAATTCCATATTAAGAATTTTTTTATTGATGCAAATCTTCATTCGAAACAAATGCTTCCAATGCTATTGTTTCAAAGTGCCGGGGAATTTAAAAAAGCATAAAATTATTTTTTAACCTTATAAAAAGCAGAGGAAATATACAAAATTTATGATTTCCCTCATAGATTTGATTCTTAAGAAAAACTATCCCTGTAGTTGATAAATACATGCGAAAAAAGTGTCCTTTTGTTTAAAAATGAATAAAGGTTTGTCTTTATGTGGTGAGATATATGGGAAGGACAGGCTGTATATGCTTAGGTCAAGTGACCAGACATAAAAAATAAAGTTTGTTTTTTAACTATAAAAATACAGCAGATGTCACCAAAAAAAGAATCCTTTTATTCAGAAGCAAACAACAAAAGTAGGTTGACCTTAATCATTGCATCGTAAAATGATTTGTTTGAAACTAAATATAGAAAAGCTTCATAAGCAAAGTAATTTCAAAGGCAGTTAGGCTAAATTTTAAAATAAATTTTAACACAACTACATTTTACCACAAGCAATTATGTGCTAATTTTGAATAATTACTTTATAGAGGCTCTATTTTGATAATCATTTAAAAATAATTCATAAACTAGCCAACTAAAATACCAACATAATTAATACTAAATTCTGTTTTGTAGATGTTTCTATGTTATAAAAATACAATTTGAACATATTTGAAGACAACTTCTTTTTAAATTAAGCAATTAACCATCTCATGCAATATTGCTTAGATTTTTAAATTTTAAATTATTTTTAATTAACAAAACTTGTATATGTTTATACTGTACAGCATGATGTTTTAAAATATGTATACATTGTGGCCTGGCATGGTGGCTCATGCCTGTAATCCCCGCATTTTGGGAGGCCAGGAGAGGCAGAGCACTTGAGACCAGGAGTTCGAGACCACCCTAACCAACACAGTGAAACCCCATCTCTACCAAAAAATACAAAAATTAGCCAGGTCTGGTGGCACATGCCTGTAGTCCCAGCTGCTCAGGAGGCTGAGGTGGGAGAATCACTTGAATATGGGAGGCGGAGTTGCAGTGAGCAGAGATCACACCACTGCACTCTAGCCGGAGGGGACAGAGTGAGACTCTGTCTCCAAAAAAAAAAAAAAAATGAATACGTTGTGGAATGGCTACATTGAGCTAATTAACATGGATTACCTCACTTATTTTTTTGTGGTCCGAACACTTGAAATCTACTCTTCATTCCTCTGAAATATTTGGCTTAAAAAAATTTTTTTTAAATCTACTCTCTTCACAATTTTGAAGAATATATACATTTACTATTAACTGTAGTCACCATGTTGTATAACAGAGCTTTTGACTTCCTTCTAAGAGAAGTTTGTACCCTTTGACCATCATTCCAATCCTTCCTTTTCTCTTAGCCCCTGGTAACTACCATTCTTCTCTATGCTTCTATAAGTTCAACTTTGTTAGATTCCACATATGAGTGAGATAATGTGGCATTTATCTCTCTGTGCATGAATTATTCCACTTAACATAATGTCCTTCAGGTTTATCCATCTTGTTACAAATGACAGGACTTCCTTGTTTTTTAAGGCTAAATAATATTCTGTTGTGTATATGTAACACATTTTCGTTACCTAATCATCAATTGATAGACACTTAGGTTGGTACTATATCTGGGCTATTGTGAATAATGCTGCAATGAACCTGAGAGTGTTGGTATCTCTGACATACTGATCTCGTTTCCTTTGGATATATGCTCAGCAGTGAGATTGCTGGATCATATGGTAGCTCTATTTTTAATTTTTTTGAGGAACCTCCATACTGTTTTCCATTATGGATATATCAATTTACATTCCCACCAACAGTGTACAAGGGTTCCCTTTCTCCACATTCTCACCATCACTCACTATCTTTTTTCTTTTGGATAACAGCCATTTTGACTGGGGTGAGTTGATATCTCATTGTGGTTTTAATTTGTATTTCTCTGATGATTAATGATGTTGATTTTTTATATACCTCTTAGTCCTTTGTATGTCTTCTTCTGAGAAATGTCTATTCCAAATCTCTGCCCATTTTTAATTCAGGTTATTTGTTTTCCTGCTGTTGAGTTGTTTGACTTTCTTGTATATTTTGGATATTAACACCCTGTCAGATGTACGGTTTGCAAATATTTTCTCACATTCTATAGGTTGTCTCTTCACTCTGTTGATTGAAACAATCAGCAGAAGCTGATTGGCTATGCAAAAGACTTTTAGTTTGTTGTACTTCTATTTTTTATTTTTGCTTTTGTTGCCTGTGCTTTCGGAGTCATCTCCAAAAAAATCTTTGGTCAGACCAATGTCATAGAGCTTTTCCCTTATGTTTCTCTCTAATAATTTTAAATTTTCAGGTCTTATATTTAAATCTTTAATCTATTTTGAGATGATTTTTGTATATGGTGTGAGATAAGGATCTAAGTTTATTCCTCTGCATGTGGATGTCCAATTTTCCTGGTACCATTTATTAGAGAGACTATCCTTTGCCCATTATGTGTTCTTAACATCTTTGCTGAAAGTCAATTGACTGTAAATGAATGTATTTATTTGGGGGTTGTCTATTGTGTTCCATTCCATATGTCTGTCTGCTTTTAAGCCATACCATGCTGCTTTGATTACTATAGCTTTGTAGTAGATTTTGAAATCAAGTAGCATAATTCCTCTGGCTTTGTTCTTTTAGCTTAAAATTGCTTTGGCTATTAGGGTCTTTTGTGGCTGTAAATGAATTTTAGGAATGTTTTACTAGTTCTATAAAAATTTCTTTGGAATTTTTATAGGGAAAGTGATTGAGTGGGTGATTCACTCTGGAAGGGAGCAGGGAGGTGCTGAGCATTCAGCAAAGAAGTGAAAGAAGGACTTTTCTACCTTCTGTGCTCCTCGGCAGTTCTTGTATTAAACCAATCTTTTATTTGTTGAATGTATTTTAAACATTACTGTATAGATCTTTAAAACCTGTAGATACTTTAATTAAGTGCTTTAAACCTAAAGTGTTCATTTTCTTAAGTAATTGAAAATACTGCTGGTATAAAATTACAGCTTCAAAGCCGGCTTACCAAAATGAAAAATAGATTTATGCATCTGTAAAATTAAATGTGTATTGAGAACCGTAAGTAGACACCATTATTCTGAAGCAGCCAAATGGATAAAATATATTTTCCAAGCAGTTGCTCTGACCAAATAGAAACTAATTTCAGAAGGAAGCCGAAATGATAAATTATGTGAAAAATGTATCTATTAATGTAATATATGTTCTTTAATATTACAGCCTACCGATGGAACAAAGGTTGTCTCTCATCCAATTACAGGAGAAATTCAGGTATGAAGTTTTTTAAAAAGTCGCCATTATATAACCTTTTTTGGTTGTTTTGCCACTGGTTTGTTGAAATTGTAAACACACTGTTAGGATTTTTCTTATTCTGTAATATATACAGAACTGTAAAGGAAAAATGCAATTTTATAGAATAGTATATTAATACAAATATATGTTTTATGAAGTCCAATCATAGCTATGTATTTCTATACTTTGAAATCTGCCTGATATCTTAGCAGTGTCAACATGTTTTGTGCCTCAGTTACTTTATATTTGTCGAATGTATTTTAAACATGACAGATTCTCCTGGAAATTTGAAGTTTCCTCTTTAAGAGTTTCATGAGTCTACTGGGATTTTTTCTTCTTTTAATCAAAAATTGCTTTAAAAATTGCTGAATAGTTTTTGTAGAGAAGTATTTTTCATAGCATAAGTCATAACTGCTTTGTAACTTATAAAATTAATTTTCATCAGGAAAATAAAATAAAAATAGATAAAGAAAAATATATAAAAATAAAAAGATAATCATCTTTTTAAATTCTCTCTGTGTTTTGATATTTATATATTTCTGATTGTGGGTCATAGTAAAAATAAAACTTTAAAACCTGCACCTTAGGTGATACCAAGAAGTAATTTAGACTAAATAAGAAATAGCATATAGAAAGAATTAACACTATAAAATAGTAACTAATTGAAAACAGTATGTTTCAGATGAAAGAGAGTCTTAGCTGCATCTCTAATACATTCTAGAGGAAATTTTCACAAAAGACTTCACAAAGGATAACAGAAACTCGAATTAATTTGAAGATAAGCATAAAGAAAGGGAGATTATGTTCCTGGAGAAGAAAGAGTACAATTAAAGGTATTGTTGTCCGAGAGTAATGGTTGAAGAATCAGCTTCGAGAAGTAGGTTAAGACTAAATTAAAAAGAAACTTGAACACAATCCTAGGAATGTTAGCCACTACATAATATACCATGATCTCTATTTTGGAGTAAGAGAGAGACTATTTGAAAAGAATGTGTAATAAAAATTCATATGGCAGTGACCTACAAGAAATATTATAAAGGGAGGACATTGAGGCAAAGAAATCAATTAAGTGATTATCCAGGAACCTACTACAAAGCAGAAGTGGAGTGTGAGCGTGGAAATGGAGAAAATGTGCAGAAGGTTGACACGTTACTAAGAACAAACTAACAGTACTACCCTGATGACCTCTGTACTCCAGATCCGGCTGTTTCTCTGCTATTTCCAACTTCCAGAAAGCCTGTTTTTCACTGACTTGATCTTTCTTCATTTCACAAACAGCAAAGAAAATGCTAGAATTTCTGATTCTTAATAGCCTTCTTTCTCTTTCCTACTATTTTTAAACTTCTGTCCTTGGACTAGTGTTTCTTTTGGACTGTGTTTTTTGTTTTTATTGTTGTTGTTTTTTCTAATTTTATTTTGCTTTCCCTTAAGGAGTAAGATGTAATTCTGTAGTTGAAATTTACCCTACTATTATTCCTTCTTAATTTGGGGGATATTTTCGTAAGGCAGTGATTTCAATTATTATTATTATTATTTTATTTTAGCAAAGGCTCATTTCAAATGAAATCTTATGTAGACAACCAAACCATGAATCTATCAGCACTGGAGTCGCTGTGATTGAAGATTGCTGGGGCATCCCATTCTCTCTCAAAGCTGACCCTGAGTAACTCTAGATGTTCCCTAAGGCCATACAGAGCAAATTTTGAAAAGCACTCTCTTCGGGTGGCCTGCAAGTTTTCATTTCAATAAGAAACGGTTTGGGTGCTTCATCACTTAAAAGTGGATTCTAAGGCTGGCAGAGAAAGGAGAGAATGGGGAAGTGTTTCTCCTTAAATAAAGATCAGGAAGTTGTTTGAAATTTCAGTGGTATTAATTACAGGTTATTTTATATTCTGTATTTCAGTACCAGATTATAGCATACAGTTGCTGCATGATGGCATAGAGTTCTAAACTTCCCCTTTCTCCTCTTCTTTAATGGTACTTTGCTTTCTTTTTCACTGTGCTTTTATTATGGTCAGGGACTCTAGTCTTTTCTGGATGGAGATAAGCAATTGAATATGTATTTTCTGACAGGAAACATAATAAGATCAAAATTATACTAAAATGAGGATTTATTTCATTATGAAGTTTTACAGGAAAGTATGACTCATCTGAGTTATCCTATTTTAAATATAAATGCAGCATATCTGTTTTATATGGATTATTTTAAAAGTTAGTATCTTTCTATATGGATTTGCCCTTTGAAATATGGATCCCTTCCACTCTATTATTTAACAAACAAAAGTAACATCAAACAGAATTAAGCTTTATTCTAAATGATGCCAAAAGAGTCTTTCAATTGTAGAAGAAAAAAATGCTTAACTCAATTATTTTGAATTATGCAGTTTTCTCAAATATTTGTTTGAATTATGTCTTTTAGTATTCAGCCACAATTGTGCAGCAGCCAATAAGCATCTATAAAGCAATGTCTCTTCTTTTTTCAGCTTCTAAAATTAAAAGAAAAAAAGAGTATTGTAGTATCTCACTCTATTAGGAAAGCTGGTACCGAAAGGTATCTATAGGTTTAATATCAGATAATATAACATTAAAAAGTAATAATCTGTGTATTCTTAAATATTCTTACATTTCAGTGCTGACAGCTTTATCTTTAAATGACAGTTCCACCCCACTGCTAATTATTTGGCAAAATGCAAATAATACTTTATAATAATTTACCAATTAGTTAATTTCTTTTCAAAATTCTAGGAATTGTTGTTAATAAACATTAACAACATTTACTATTTTCCTAAGAGTAGCAATTTAATTAAAAAAGATAACCAGCATTCTACCTTATGATTTTCCTTCTAAATAAACTTTTAAACAGGCCAGGCCTTTTCACTGTGGAAAGAATGAACAGCATGTTTGCTAGGAATTAAAATATGCCTGGGAGCTCTCAATTAAATTAGACATTAACTGGTCTGTTTGGTTTCAAATAAAATGAAAATGAAAGTTGATGCTTCTTATAAGAATTTTCTTTAAAAAAAACTAGTAAATATTGAATGATAATGTATAACATGCTTTTAAAAACTTATGGAATATTTTTCTCTCTCCTAAAGCTTCAAATTAACTATGATCTTGGAAATCTCATAATACATATTCTCCAAGCAAGAAATCTTGTTCCTCGAGACAACAATGGTTATTCTGACCCTTTTGTGAAAGTGTACCTTCTTCCAGGGAGAGGGTAAGTAAAATTAAGAAGTACTTCATCTCATGCTTTAAAACAATAGTATAGTATTTTCTACTCTTTAATTTCCACACCTCATTTTAATTGACTTTATTATCTTTTCCTTACTTTCCTCCACATGTCATATTTATTTATTTCCAATTAGTAGATAAGGTGGAATTAAAAACTTGTAATTAAGCCTTACAGGGTTGTAGAAGAACAGTGATCATAATGAAACCAGCCTCCAAGAGAGCAAATCAGCCTTTCAATTCTGGAAACCACTCCTGTGATAACTATCAGATTCACTATGAAATCATTTAAGGAATTATTTGTGTCAAAGTTAAAGAATTGGCTTACCTTCCCAAATTTATCTGAGAAATCAATATTCAAGGACTTACAAGTTACTGTTTATTTTTATAGGACATGTGTATTTTCCATTATGTTAGTGTTGATTAAGTGGCTTCTTGATGTATCCTTATTTATACACATATTTCCAAATCACTGATTTAAAAATTATAAAATAGCACAAAGTGATATTTGAAGTATTGACTTTGGTAAATAAATAAAAAATATCTCTTTGAATCTCTTGTGTGATGTATAAATTGTTGATATAAGCAAGTGTTCTTTGGAGATATTTAACTTTCACATAATGCAAATTGCTGTGTTCTGGTATATAAGTCAGTACTCAAGGATAGTTTCAAAGCACTGATTTGAACCCTACAAATTATTATCCTTCACTTGAGCAATTCATATCAGCCAAATTAGCAAGATGGAAACATAAGATCAACAAATGGAGGTAAAATAAAAAGAACTTTGAGTTGGTAATTTAAAGAAACTGGTTTTATTTTTTATTCATTTTCATTTTAATTTGTGGAGTGATATTTGAATTTTCCTTTTAACTTGGAAATTTTCCATTGTGGTACACAAGTAGAAGGAATAATTTGACACACCATGTACCCATCACTCAGCCTCAACAGTTATCACTTAGTGACCAATCATGTTTCTTTTCCTCATACACTCCCTTAATCCAGATTACTTGGAAGTAAATCCCAGCTATTATAATTATTTCTGCAAATATTTTAGTATATATTTCTGAAAAATAAAACTCATTTAAAAATAGCCTTAATACCTCGTATAAGCATAATTTTAAATTTTTCAAATAATTGTTTGGTTGCCTCTTAATATTTTCCTAGCTGGTTTGATGATCTAATTGGTATTTACAGAATATACTACCCATCAATAGCAAATTACATATTCCCTTCAAGTACACATGGAGCATTCACCAAAATAGACTGTTTTCTAGGACATAAAATAATCTGTGGCAAATTTAAAAGCATTTTAATTATATGAAGTGTATTCTTTTACTGTAGTTGGTTTGTTTAAACAGGATCCAAATTAGAGCTATACACTGCCCTTGAATCTGCTGCTTAGTATTTATATCACCACAGGCAGATCACCAATTTCTTTGAGATTCAGTATTCTTGTCAACCCTGAGAGCCGAGGTAGGCAGAATCATCATTTTTAGCTTGTCAGGAGAACCAAATTAGATAATACTCAGAAAATAATTTTTAAATTGCCAGGTGCTATATCAAAGTTAGTTCACAGCTTTTAATTTCATCCTTCTCAATAATTTTATTTTAAAAACTTGGAATTGTTGGTATGGTTGCTCTAGTTTTACTTTATTGAACATTTTGAAAAACCAATAATTTTATGTAGAGATTACCAATAGTCACATAGTATAGGAAAAGGTAGTTTTTGTTTTATGTTAATTCATTTATATCTATATATAGTAGTTGTAACTATAATTTGGCAATATCTTTTAGAGTCTAACAACAACAACAAACTGATAACTTCATTCCGCCTTTGATTTATTAGACCTTCAATGTTATTTATGACAATATTATGATACAAGGGGAAATCACTGCCAAGGATTTGTCTGTAATAAGCATTTGCAAATGAAAGAATGAAAATAAAGCATTGTTGTTTATATTCTATATTCTCTAATGATATCCTGGAATATCATCTTTTACACAATATGGGAGTATCTATCTTTTATTTATTACAGGATATGTGTCAATTAGAATGTTACAAACTTAAAGAACCAGGAAGGACAGGCAGGTAACATGAATCTGTCAGTCCATTCTGGGGTAAGCAACAAGGAATGGTGGGAACCATGGTGAAATGGAGAACAAATGCCCCACCTAAAGCTATCCTCATGCAATTTGTCAAATAAAACGTCCCTACTTGGTGAGGTTTGGCTCAAAGGCAGCTAATAAGCTACCCCTATTCAATTCCTGGGTCTTTCTTTTAATCACACTCCTAATTATTAGACAAGCAAAGGCCTTGGAATGTATTACACTTGCAAGGTATTATTTTCACTGTAGTTCTAGCATTTTCTGCCTCATGTCATTTATGTTATGGGATAGCTCCTCTAGTTATTATTTTCATGTTTTCTTTCTTATTTCTGTTCCTAACTATTTTCTTCCTGTCTTTTCTACTTTCCTGTTTTACCCCTTCACTCTCGCTCTTGGAATCAATGCAGTCAAGTCATGGTTGTCCAGAATGCAAGGTAGAGTTGTTTCTCTTTCAGTGTCAAGCTCTGCTGCTATGTCTTGAATTATACTTTTGGCATTTTTATGTACATTCACTGGCACTTCAACATGGGCTGTAACTTATATTTTTCTACATGTTTGTATCTATTGAATCAGCACTGCGACAAATTGTTCTGAGCATATTTCTAAATAGCTTTAGCAGATGTGTGCAATAGAACACAGAAAAGTAGAAAATATTAAAAGCATAGAAACAATGAAAAAAATATTATTACCATGAAATTAGACATAACTAAAGTCTCATAATCTATTCACTAAAACTCATTTAGCTTCTCACATAATAATCATGATTTAAGTTCTCGAGTCTTCTATTAAAAATATCTGTAGCCATTTTTCAAAAGTAATTAATGGGTCTTCTGGATGTCCAGTGCAGGTGTATATCCCATCAGGCACGGTGGCTCACGCCTGTAATCCCAGGACTTTGGGAGGCCGAGGTGGGCAGATCACAAGGTCAGGAGATCGAGACCATCCTAGCTAACACAGTGAAACCCCGTCTCTACTAAAAACACAAAAACTTAGCTAGGCATGGTGGCGGACACCTATAGTCCCAGCTACTTGGGAGGCTGAGGCAGGAAAATAGCGTGAACCTAGGAGGTGGAGCTTGCAGTGAGCCAAGATCGCACCCCTGCACTCCAGCCTCAAAAAACAAACAAACAAACAAACAAACAAACAAAAAAAAAGATAATAGGTGTTTGAACTTGGTCCCTCACTTGAACCTAATGTTGAAACATTTTCATGCCTTTGTAACTTCTGCCCCACAAAATTTCTGCTATGCAATGTAGGATGCCATAATTGGCTTGCTGTAGTATATTAGCAATAAGTTAATCTTCCTTTGTTCCCAATAGTAGGAGCGTTTTCTAATACAGCTCATGACAAGTTGCATCATTACACTGTCAACTAAGACAATTTCTTAGTACATAGCCAAAAGCATTATTTTGCACATCTCTCATTGCATTATAAATTAAATGTGTCATTTAGTTGGGAAGGCAAATCATGTATGATCTGTAGCAATAGGGTGATGGGAATTTTAATCCCACCCAGATTATTAATGGTACAGCATTCGTTTTTGTCTATGACATTAAAATTTCACATATTTACTACGAATGAACTGTTTCCCAAATGAGGCTGTTTCTGATTTTTAAAAGCATAAATACGTAAATATTTCAAACAATAGGATTTGTTACCACAGCCTTGCTATTGCCCAGAAACTTTTTGTTTCCTTACAGCCACATAATTATGGCAAACAATGTAACTGACGCTGTGATAGATTCCTTGTTATGGCTGGTTCTCTCATCACAGAACACAATCCAGGTATCTCAGGCTGATATGCAAAATTAGTTTTGTTTCAAAGAAATAGTGTTATTTTTAGAACAGATATTATTAATCACATTATTCAGAATCTCCCTATCTTTTATATATAGAAACTTGGGGAAAATTATCAGAATGATAGAGATTGTATTTAACTTATAAAAGAGAGAATATTTTATAAATTATAAATAATACCATGTCTTAAATAACTATTTAAAAGATCTAGAAGCTACTTTCTTATATCTTTCATCTAGAAATCACTTTCACCATGTCTTTGAGAATTGTCAATGTAAGAGGGAATTATATTGACAAGGTACTGACATTGTAAGTTAGACTGTGGAAGCCAATAAGTGAGGTCCTTAAGAACTTGCGTTTGAATTTTAGCCCTGTCACTTAGAAGCTTTAAGATTTCTCTAAAACTATTTTATCTTCTGCAAAATAGGAATAATAACAGCTCCCTTCCCAGGCCTTCTGTGAAATACATGAAATAAATACATCAAAAGTGATAAGCATAATGTCTGGAACATAATAAGCTTTCAATCAATAGTAGTTGTTATTATTATTGCTAGCAATGTGTATCATACATTTTTTTGCGACCAGTGGTTGGTTATCTCTGCAACAGAAAGGTACAGAATGCTTGAGCTTCTGAATTATACTAAATTATTTTAAAATACTATATAGAAAATTAAACAACTTTTCTTTAATATTAAAATGTAATACATCTTTCATTCTTAAATTTAAAATAAGAGTCCTGTTAGCTAGTTAAAAAGTACACTGATTTGGTTTCCTTGTCTCCTTTACTTTTTTCTTCCCACCCTCTGATCAATATACTCAAACTTTGAGGGGCAAAATGTCAGGCAAGATAAGGTGAGAGAATGACTAGGAAAAGGTCTGGGTCGTGCGTGAACTCAATACTTCCTGTTGGATAATTAAGAAATGGAAATGAGCATATATGAAGGGCCTCGCTCTGGTTTTCTCTCATCACACTGTTGAGCGAAGTGAAAATATTTTCTCATTACTGAGATTTTGTTATGAATATAATTATTTTTAGCTATCTTTATACCTGGAAGCCCAATTCCTGGCTGGACCTTTCTCTAAACAACATTGGTATCCTATCAAACTATTTCCTCTGGGACCTGTGGAAAGCAGGTACAGGTGGTGTGTGTATTTACAATATGGTGTCCAAAATTTATTTTACTTCAGTAGATTTTAAAGGAAAACAAAATACAAGCATGTTCTAAGGATCACTGAATATTTACTTAGCACAGACTATGTGTCAGACACTGTGCCAGGTGCAGGGGTTACAATTGACAATGTAGCCATATAGTCTCTGCCATCAGAGAGCAAAGAGGAAAATAAAATGATAGACAATAAGCACACCATCGCACTATTAAACAGAGCTTACAAAATGGGATGCAAGTTGTATTTTTTCTAAATTAAGAGAAATAACCTCAGAGGAGTAATTTTGAAAAACGTGTGTGTGTGTGTGTGTGTGTGTGTGTGTGTGTGTGTGTGTGTAGTAAGTTTAGTAAAGGAAAACCAGATAAATCATTAAAAATGAATACTTTCAATGTTTTAGATAATTTTATGAAAGTAGATACACCAAAGAAGCCTTCAAATTTCATTATCTTTTCTCAGTTTTTCTTTTGAAATTAAAAAATATGTACATGGAAACTGTTTTCCTGCTGGTCTTGAGTAGAATAATTGAATTTCAAAAATTTTTTCAGACAGCCTTAAAAGTATATATACCTATGCATGACAAAATGACCAATAAAAACAAATAAAAAAATAAACCACCAGCACTTTGGGAGCCCAAGGAGGGTGGTTCATGGGGTCAGGAGATCAAGACCATCCGGGCTAACATGGTGAAACCCCGTCTCTACTAAAAATACAAAAAAAATTAGCCGGGCATGGTGGTGGGTGTCTGTAGTCCCAGCTACTCAGGAGGCTGAGGCAGGAGAATGGCGTGAACCCAGGAGGCAGAGCTTGTAGTGAGCCGAGATTGCACTGCACTCCAGCCTGAGCAACAGAGCAAGACTCCATCTCAAAAAATAAATAATCAAACCAACAAACAAGGCAAAACTTCAAGAGGGTGAAGTTTTAGATATTTTTTGATAAGCACCATGTCCCATCTTTATGTATTGACCTTTTTATTTTCCCTTATTAATAAACTTCTTTAATTATTAGATATAATTGTCCTAATTGTCCTAATGTTAAATCATTAATGTAATCTTCCCACAAGAGAATATAGTGTGTTTACTAGACAAGAAAGGAAAGGGAGGATGAACTCCACTTATTTCTCAGCCTGACTTTATGCTCACATTTAAGAATCCCCCTGTTTACCTGCCTACCTTCAACTCCACAGATTTTGATATGACTATTTTGTGTAGAGTTTTAAATTGTGTTAGGTGGCAACACAGTTCATTGAAATTGTGTATGATATGATCAGAGCATGGTAGTTATAAAACAACTGTTATTGAAGAATGGCTTTGTGTGACCAGCTCTGCATGTCAGGAAATGCAAGGGCAAAAAATACTGCAAAGGCTTTCATTGGTGTTTAGGAGCAAGCTGTTTTTACTTTCATTAATTCTAAAGGATGTTTTAGGTCTGGAGAGAATTGGAGAATCAAACTCATTACTATGATTAAGATACTCTATTAAAATGAACATTTTAACTTTTGTCCAATCAGTTTAGGTTATTTCTAAATGTATCTGGCCAAACATCAGTATTTACAATAAGTAGGCGTAATTGTTCCACAACACTCACTTCGGATGTACTATTCAGAATTTCCCTAGGCAACTCTAAAGAAGGCCTAACTTGTTCACGATGTTTATAATGCGTGTCTACACACATTATACATAATTTATATTATATGTATAAAAATTATGTATTTAAATTGAGATGGAGAATTTTAGATTATAAAGAAGACAAACTAGATACTTCAGGTAGTGAAGCCTGCAATTAAGAAAATAGATGGATGTCACATTTTATGATGGGCCTAATCAATTGAGTTCATATAACATTTATTTAAAAGCAAGAAATCAAATTACCTATGTTTGGATCCTGGTCCAGTTAATAACTATGCAACTTTGACAATACGCCTTAATTTTTCTGAGCTTCAAGTTTTCTCACCTATAAAATGGAGTAAGAAGTAATACCTGTATAATGGGGTTAATATGAGTATTACATGAGTTAACACATGAAAAGCACTTAGAACTTTACCAGAGGAAAAAGGAGGCATTTAATAAATGTTAGTTATGATTTTAATATGCTTACTTTTAAAAATGCTTTTCATGCATGAATTAAATATATACTCATATGTCAATACAATTAAGGGTTTTTTAGTTGATAGACATCTACAATTCCTGATACAGAGTTGGCATTCACTAATTTTTGCTAGGTGTATAAGTGAAAAAAAGACTAAATGTGGATTTGAAAAATTTGAATAACAATTATTCACATGTATGGATTAAGAAAAGATAGTGACTGATAAATCCCTTCAAAGGTATTTTAATACTACTTCAGACTATTTTAATATGTATTGGCAGACCCAGAATTTTAGTGATAGTACATGGGTTTGCATTTGATATTAATTCCCATCTTGTTAAACAAATTATGTATTTTTTAGAACTTAAAAAACATAATTTTATTACTGTTCAGTGTATTATAAATCTTAATATGGTTTCCATAACCTCACCACCTTGATAAGTAAGTCCAAAACAGAGGCTTTAAAACTCATACTACCATGTGTTTGTTTCCTATGTATATTCACCTATGAGAATAGCCATGATTCTAAAGTAGCAATCCAAGTTTACTATTAACTTAAAAGTCGTCACTAATTCTTTCTATGTCACTATCAAATTAAAGTTATTAACTCTTTCTATGTATTAATTTATATGTATTATTTCTATGTAGACACTTTTTTGTAGACACTAATTCTATCACCATCAAATTAAGTCATTAGTTCTAAGTCACCATCAAAAAAAGAATCCAAAACTAAATTTAAAGGAACATATCTTACTAAAAATTTTTGAATTTTTCATTATAAAATATTTCAAGTTTACTAAAAATTATAGAAAATACCCTAACAAATACCTGTGTGCTTGCTATCCAATTTTGTCAAATTTTAAGATTTTGCTATATTTGTTTTAGATTTTTTAAAAGATAATACCCTGAAGCCCTCTGAAATCACTTCCCTATCCATTAAAAAACTCACTAAATTGAATTTAATATTCATAATTTACAAGTTTTCTTACGATATTAATATATATGTATGTCATATATACATGTATATATAATGTGTAACCTTATTTCACATGATTTTATGTTTATACCATTATACCATACCATATTAAGTTTTTGATCAAAACTTTTTTCAAGATGTATCTATCTTGACATATGGAGGCTTTTAAAATTTAATTGATTTTCAGTGCCACTTACTATTTCATTGAAATGAATATATCACAATGTATTTATTCGTTCTTCTATTGGCTTACTATTGAAATAATGTTGCAATTAATGTTCTTGAACAAATTTCTTGTTCACAGGTAGGAGAATTTCTCTATGGCAGAAGTGGAATTAGTAGAAATTGAATATTTGGATGTTTGGGTATATAAACTTAAACTTCACTAGATATTGACAAATTTATCTAAAAAGTATATATAGAAACTTCCTATCCATAGTCTATGAGAGCTCCTCTTTCTTTAAATCATTGTCTGTATATTTCCCTAAAATTCTTTGTAATTTATCTTGAGTGACAGCTGTCAAATTCTGCCCTTAATTGTGTACATTCAAATAGGTTGAAGTGCGAGGAATGCTGCTTTATTTCTTCAGTTGGATTCAGCTCACAATGGCTGACTTGTGAAGTGTTATGAAACACCAACTCGGTGCTTCTTAATCTTCGCTACATATTAGATTCACCTGCGAGCCTTCAAAAATCCTAATACTCAAGCCTCATCCCAGACTAATCAAGTCAGACTTTCCTTCGGGGAGTAAGCAGGGGCAAGAGGGAAGTGGGTGGAGGGTTGACTGACCCACCTCCCACCACCAGAACTCAGGTGATCCCATTATGCAGTCAATGTTGAGCGTTATTTCCCTTGTATCTGACTGGTAAGAAAATAAAATCAGAGATACAGGGAAAGTACTTGCCTGCAGGCCCATCTTTAAAAGTGAGTGGTGAGCTGGAGTTTGATCCTCAATAGCTTTCTCTACAATGTATAGGTAAATTAGTGGCTGGGGAAAATTTCTAGGCATCCAGGATATGGCAATACTTGAGACCAGGAATGTAGCAAGAGTTAGTCTGGCTATAGTTTGGAATAGAACTACAGATTACAAGAGTCAGGGTCCAGCCCCCTTTTAGGGAAAGGCAACTTGTGAAATCCAGACACATGTCAAGACCCCCAGACAGAGAGGTTGGTTTACAGGACTCTAGTGCCCACCACAGATGAAGTATTATTTAGAACGTGAGACATAAGCTTGGGCAGAAAATTCAGAAAAAAGCAGTGAGAGTTAGAGAAAGGCCTTGTCTGTGTGGGCACCATTTGGTAATAGCAAGTAACAGTAATCTAATTTCAACCCCATCAGCAGGTTGGTGCCAGCTATAGATGTTCTGCCAGACTTCATTAGGATAGGCTTTGAAAATAAATTGTTTTTAAATGTGTAGCATATAAGCTTCTAATTGGTGCTCAGAGGAAATGGAAAGTCAAGGATTAATGCAGATGTCCCAAGTTCTAATAATTGAGGAAAGATTTTTATTTGGTTCATCAATTGTAAAATAGCATATTGACATAAACCAAAAATTTATATTTAATTAAAATTGCTTTATAACTGCATTAAATATACTTTACCAAGAGTGTTGGAATATACTTTAGATATCAGTAACAAGTGTTTATGGAATGTGAGCCACAGCAACAGCCATTCTTCATCTTTTTCTCAGTACACTCATTACAATGTTTTAGTTTTGCTTTTCCGTATGTACAAAACTATAGTAAGGTTAAACACCAAATTATTGTTTATGGGGCAGTAACATTGATGTTACTATTTAGTTCATGTAATTATCTCCTACATTCAGGAATGAGCAAGATTTCTGAAATTATAGTATATTTAGAACACCTACAAGCATTTCTTTAAAAAAAAATCATAAGGGCAAAGAAAACTACAAGCATCCAACATATTTTTAAATTGTCACTGTGCATTCAACTTAAACTAAGGTTTAAGACATGAGGATGATGAGATAATTATATAGTGATTTGAAATAAAATATCTTGAATAGTCTGCATGTCCTTTAGTTTAACTGTGAAGTCATAAACTAAGGTGAATAATCAAGATAACTCTTTCTTTTCTCCCAATTCAGTGCTGAGTACAAGAGAAGGACTAAACATGTCCAGAAAAGTCTTAATCCTGAGTGGAATCAAACAGTAATTTATAAAAGTATTTCCATGGAACAGGTATGTCAAGATTATTTCTAGGTGACAGAATTAGGCTAATATAAGTACAGTGATAACACAATTATTCAAAAATTGGGATCTGTATACATTTTGCCAATCAAACAAAAAAAGTTGAGTAAAATACATGTAAGAAATGTAGCCAATGGAAAAAAATGAGTGACATTTAAGCACAGGGTGAAAGTAAATGTGCACATTTTGACAAAGCAGCCAAAACATAAACAAATAAAATAAGAAAACTAGTGGAATATTTTCCATTTGTTATTTCAGAATTTAAAATTTTTAATAGACTAAGCCACATTTATCATATTTGAGAGAGAAACACATTTTCCAACTGGCTATATTTTGACTTTCATACACAATACACAAAAAAAATAAGATTCAGTGCATAGAACTGTATTACTCCACTAGACAATATTTTAGGATCTCATCTCTTTGCTAAATTGAGGCCTCCTAAGAATCTGGCATTGTGGTGCTAATCTCTACAGAAGAAGGCAAAATGATGACTAGTATAAAGGATTATCACCAGAGATAAGTAACTGTAGGCAAAAATTACATTATTATATTTCTGAAAATCTGCATTTTTATATCTTTGCTTAACAGACAATAACTGAAATGTATAAGGTTGAATTCAGAGAGAAAACTATAAAGACAGTTCCCACATAAACCAATTTACAAGTGAACTGTCTTTCAAAATGAGATTCTTAATTTGTCTTCTAGTAGATTAATTTCATTACAAAGATGAAGCTGGATATAAATTATAATCTGGGTTTGTGAATTTAAAATAAACTCACCTGCAGAAATAAGGCAATGCTACTAAGTTTTTTGGAAATTGCTGAAACATTTAATCCAATACTTCATCTAGATAATACTAGACATTTTTGCAATCTATGAATTTCTTATATTTAGAGTATTTATAAATTCTGATTTCTATTTTTGAAAATGAGGTGGGGATACAATAAATAAGTAAGAATTATCATTTTATTCACAAAATAATAATGTTCCCCATGATCAAACACTAGTTTAGAGTGCAAAATCATTCAAATTTTACATAATATTTAATATTTAAACTACATAGTTTTCGGTAAAATTTTAAGTATTTTCACATAAATGGAAGGAGTTTAAGGAAAAAAATAAATATGTCTACTGTATGTGTGTAATGAAAATGTATGATGGAAAGATAGGTTTAATTAGATTTCTATTTGAACTATATAGCTCAAGAAGAAAACACTGGAGGTGACAGTTTGGGATTATGATAGATTTTCATCCAACGACTTCCTTGGGGAGGTAAGCCTCTGACTTCCTTTCCCTTATTTGCTGCTATGGTAAACCACCAATTAAAGCACGATGCAAAGCATGTTTCTGAAGTTTATAAGATAGCCGTTTCTGAAAAAAATCTTCTGGCAGATAGAATTTATTTCCTGATTTACTATTTGAGTAGATTAATACCAATTCAAGAAATGGTTTTCACTCTATCACTTGATGTACTTTATAATTAATTTCTAAGATGAAATTTTCTTTCAATAGGAAGATATGTAATCATACTGTGAGTCCAAATGAGATTTGAAGTAACAAATTTATTATATTATAAAATGGCCTGGACTTTTAAAAATGCATTTACAGGTTCTTTAATTGATTTGATGTGACATATTGATTGCATTGTTATTTATAATTAAGTATTCTGAGAAAAATCACTGAAAACATTTTAAGAAGCAAAACTACAAGTAGGAGAAAACAATAAAAACAATTTTTACATTAACATCAAGGAATCAAAATAACCTAATTGTATGCCTGTATCAGAATATCTCATATACCCCATAAATATATACACTTACTATGTACTTGTAAAAATTTAAAAATAAACAAATAATCATGAAATTGGTAGCATGAACAGATCTTGTGATTTTTAATCTATTATATATATACATTGTTTATATATATGAACATAATATATACACATATTGTTTATATATAGGAATATTATATGTATAATGTAGATATGTACACATTGTGTATATATATACACATTTACATTATATGTTATATATACGTATATTATACATTGTATATACATATATTTTATATATTGTATATATCATGTGTATATACAATGTATATATGTCTATATACAATGTATAATATATACTATACAGTGTATACAATTGTATGTCTACAGTGTATATATAATGTATATATACACGTTATATATACAATGTATATATACTATACATATTATGTATAATATATATAATATATATACACACATACACATTGTTTAGTGTTCTGCTTAGGGCAGAAGTTATGAATTAATGTTAAAAATAATCTCCAAAAAATCCAAAACCTACAAAATACGACATCCTTTTGTGTAATCAAGGTGATAATGAGGACTTGTTTGGTTCTTAAGACTTTGCACATCTCTTTTCACCAAAACTGGAGCATTTGACCCTTACCTTCCAGTTCCATCCAGCTCTAGCCACTTGGACTAATCTTGATCCTAGGCAGGAGTACTCTAGATTAGTATTATGCCTGACTTTATGTTTCATTTCAAAAAAGTGACTTACTGAAGTCCTTCTAATTTATGGTCTTATGTTTACATGAGCCTAAAGCATATATCCATTGGTCTGGTTTTCATTTCTTTTTAGCTCATCATATCTAAGATGTCAGCAACTGTAAAATGCACCAATGTACTAAGAAAAAAAAAGTTGCCAATTAAACCATGACAAAATGTGGTAGTCATATCCCTATTTCAAATGTGAACTAAAGTATGTTTTAAAATAGAATAAATAAGTTTGTAATTGCAACTTACTCATTCTTTTCCATTTTGTCCCTTTTGTGACTAAAATCAAACATTTTTCAAGGTTGCTAGTCCAGTTTAAGATTAAAATAAGTTATGAGTTTTTGTTTGTTTGTTTATTTGTTTGTTTTTTGAGACAGAATCTTGCTCTGTCGCCCAGGCTGGAGTGCAGTGGTGTGATCTCAGCTCACTGCAAGCTCTGCCTCCTGGGTTCATGCCATTCTCCTGCCTCAGCCTCCCACACAGCTGGGACTACAGGTGCCCGCCACCACGCCCAGCTAATTTTTTTTTTTTGTATTTTTAGCAGAGACGGGATTTCACCGTGTAAGATTAAAATAAGTTCTTACAACAAAAAGAAGTTTTGTTTTATGAACAGATTGACTTGTGACCCTATCTTTTAACATCATATCCAAATAATTTAGTTAATAGTCAAAAATTTTATACAGTTCAGTTCAAGCAAACATTTATTAAGCATCTAGTATGTAAAAGACATTGTTTCCAGTATCATTGGTGAAGAAAACTGAGGAAGAAAGAATCATCATCCTCAAAAGTTATACTGTATTCCTTGGTTTATATCCTTGAATAAATTTTAGAACATAGAAAAAGTAATGAATCAATTATACTTTAGTCCCTAAATTTCATTTATTTGTTACACTTTTTTTCAGGTATTGATTGATTTATCTAGCACATCTCACCTCGATAACACTCCAAGGTGGTATCCTCTCAAAGAACAGACTGAAAGCATTGATCATGGCAAGTCTCATTCCAGTCAGAGCAGCCAGCAGTCCCCAAAGCCATCTGTTATCAAAAGCAGAAGCCATGGTATCTTCCCTGACCCATCAAAGGGTAGGAAATATTTTTTTAAGTAGAAAAAGTTTTGTGTCTATTTGTTCAGTCTGTATCTTCTTAGTGTGAATGTTTGTACATTTAACCTATATTAATAGATTAGACACGACTGGAAAATACTTAATATAATGTCATGCAAAGAGTGGAATCAGGAGAAATGGGCTTTATTCTCAGATCATCACCCATACTTAGGTGTAGTACTTTGTAATCTTCACTTCTCTAACTGTCCAATTTCAACATGTAAAATGAGCTATTTGGTCTATTCCACCTCAAAATCCATGATAACATGATTTCAGAAAATGCATTTGGGTATTTCATAAAGATAATACAAAAATCCCTACGAGTTCATTGACTAGACATAATCATCATTATCATTAAGTTATAATCCTTCTAATTGTTTGAATCTCTGGTTGTCCATAAATATTGTCTTACCCAATAAATATAATTTTGCATGCTACTTTTTATTTATCATACAAAGAATATTTTCCCCTGTCATCAAAACAATTGGTATGCTGAAATTTACTTAAGTCTTTCCTAAATGTTGGACTCAAGCTAATTTTTTAATAACTATTATTATTTTTTAAATAACAGTGCCATACATTGGGTTTGGCAATATGCAAATATGTACAGCACTCTCATTCAAATGAGCTTTTCCTTTGAGAGGTTCATAACCAACTGTCCTACAACACAACATTAATCCTCATCATAAACTGAGCTACTGCCTCTGTGGGATAAAACATGTGGTACCTTACCTAGATATACTGAACTATTTGTAAGTATTAAATATAATTTTTATATTGGACTTGAGTATTACTTCCTTGTCACCTTTTCTAGGAAAGTCCAGCAAATTGTAAAGTGGTTCTTTGTACATGAGATTCTCTGAATCATAAATGCAAGTGTTCTAGGAGATGAGAAAGTGAGTCCATGTCCAGTAGGCCACTGAGTTGATATCATAAACTGCTGACTACGAGTTTTGTAGATTATTTATGAATGAGTTTTATAGATCATTTATGGGTTCCACTTAGCCATCTCAACTCTTATCTTGCTTAACATACTGCATGATCATTAGTATAAAGATCTCTTTCTATGACTGCCTTAGGAAATACGTGATCCATACATTCTCTACAATGGTTTGAGGCATGATTCTACAATCTCCACACTTAATATGTCCTAGTGATTCACATCCTTCATCCTGTTTTTGCTTAAAACTCCTCCTGTGTATTGTCTCCTACCTGACCTCTGCTGGAATTAGCAGAGGTGCTTGGTGAAACTAAAAGTTAACATATTTATTACTAGAAGCTAGTCAGAATGTATTTCTTTTTTCAAAGTTCTCTCTTCTCATTGCTATCATCCTTTTGCCTTTCCTCCCCCAAATTGTTTCCCAGATGTTTAATCATCATTCTGTATGATGACCAGTTGCATAAATGAATCATATAAGACTCAGAATTAACATAAATTTTAGGCAGTTTCAAATTATGTGTAAACCAAGCTTGATAGGAGGAATGCTGGAACAACTTTAACTCATGTTTTACCCTTTTGTGACCAGACATGCAGGTTCCCACCATTGAGAAATCCCATAGTAGTCCTGGTAGCTCAAAATCATCATCAGAAGGCCATCTCCGTTCTCATGGACCATCTCGCAGTCAAAGCAAAACCAGCGTCACTCAGACCCACCTGGAAGATGCAGGGGCTGCCATAGCTGCTGCCGAAGCTGCCGTGCAACAACTCCGCATTCAACCAAGTAAAAGACGCAAATAAATTCCTCAGCATGGCAGCTTAATGTTCATCTGTTGCCTTTCTTTCCTGCTGTCCTTTCCTGTTTGCTTTCAGTTTTCAACATCCTCTGCTCACCCTGTTCTCTGTCCCTTTGTCTGTGTAAGAACGATATAAATACATTAATATGCTCTTTCTTATTTAGATTTTTTTTATTTACATAGACTGAAATAAAACTGGCTGTTTCTCCTTTGTTTCCACCATCCATCCAACCTGGCTCATAGCATTTGATACAGTGTCTGTGATGTTTGGAAGCAAAGCAATGTTGTGTGTCCTTTTTGTTTGCGCTTAAATATCTTTTAGAATACAGAAATTATAAGCACAAGTGGCTGCCAGTTTTCCAGGACTTATACCAAAAAAAAAAAAGTGCACACATATAAGTATTTAGAGCAGATTTGCAATTAGATTCTTGTATCTGAAAACACTCAAAAAGTCTAGGCAGAAGATAATGCAACCAACAGTCAACTTCTAGAACCTTGGAGGAAAAGCCATTTCAAGACAGTGCTTTAAAACACTAACAAATTTTGCTTCTGAAATATGGTAGCTTTCCATGTGCAAAAAATTGTAGTCTTCTGAAAAATCTGTGAAGAAAATCTTATTTCTTACATTCTCAAAAAACTACATTAAATTAATATATGTATAAGCATATGTGATAAGGCAATGCAACCTCACTGAGGAGCACAATTGGGTCCATTCTGTTGGATCACACTTTGTATGTGATGACAGATTTTACAGATATTTTTTCTAACCATTGGAAATCAAGATATACTATGTCTGGTAGCTATAAGTCAATCAAAGTATAACAATTGACCTATCTTAACTGCTGTATTTTCATTTCATTTGTGAAAATTTAGTCGATTGATATAATTATATAAAAACTTAATATGTGCAAATATTTCACAAATGTAGGTACCCTGTTACTTCTAAAAGGCATTAGCCAGGCAATGGAGATAGATCATTGTTCTCTCCATCTCCCTAGTCATCATTTTCAAAGAAACAGCCAGTTTTAAACCCCTTTAGTGCTGTGCATGTGGTGTCATTTTGGCATTTGAAAACACAACCTATTTAAATAGAGCAAAAGAGCACTTCTGTTTGCATGAATAACATTTAAGCTGGTTCCATCTGAGGATACATACTCTGGGTTTCCATTTCACCCACACTGCCACAGCAGCACATAAAAGCGGTCAGTCTAATCATGCCAGGAAGCAGCACAGACACAGCATAGCAGGAGTCCTCCCCATTCAAAGAACTCAGTCTGATAATCTGCCTCCACCAGCCAATGGCAACCAAGACCAAAGCCAGCTAGCCCTCAGGAAGGTGATGTCTGATGGACCAGTCAAGCCAGAAGGAGGTGAGCAGAAAGGCCCTGTTCAAAGCACACAGCAAGAACATCCCCAAATTTAAAGCTCTCATCTTTAATTTTTAGAGATTGTCTGATAAAATATGTTTATCCACTTTTTAATGTGCTTTTGTGGGCATGGCATTTCAGGACTTCATCATCACCATGTAAGTCCCAAGATCAGTCCCGTAATATATTGACTACAGTGATTTGTATTTTTCTATGCACTGGGCATCTTTTGACTTTTGTTGGGAAATAGATTAACAATATTCATATTGCAGAATGGAATGCATGCTACTAACCTAATCTGTTCAAGCATGACTATAAATATGTTTCATTGTGATAAAAGTTTAAATTGCTCACAGTTCAAGTTAGCCTACCAGTTGGAATGTGGATCAGTGTTTTTTGCCTATTATTTCAAGTGTAACTTTTAAAAATTTAGTGGATTTTGAAAATTCTTAGAGGAAAGTAAAGGAAAAATTGTTAATGCACTCATTTACCTTTACATGGTGAAAGTTCTCTCTTGATCCTACAAACAGACATTTTCCACTCGTGTTTCCATAGTTGTTAAGTGTATCAGATGTGTTGGGCATGTGAATCTCCAAGTGCCTGTGTAATAAATAAAGTATCTTTATTTCATTCATAAACTACTGGGTTCTGAGCCATTGTTATATGATGCAGCTTAAAATGAATGTGTCAGTTTTGTTTTCTCAATTGATTTCGTTGCAATAGATTTTAATTACTGCCTCATTGCTAGTGACAGCTGTAATGATTGGACATTTGAGAGCAGGACAAAGTTCCATCTTGGAAACACTATAAGATAGATGGAAAATTGTCACCAAATGAAAGCATCAGAGATTGCATTAAAATGTAAATAAATAATGGGATTGGGCTGCCCTAGGCAACACTTCTGCTATTTCTCTCTCCCACGTCTGATCTACTTTGCAATCTTCTCAGGTTCCTGGATAGAGGAAGGTAAATTCCATGAGCTCTTGCTTTGCAGAAGTGGCCAACCTTCAACTCATAGCTCTGTTCAGAAAGGAAAGCAAATTTACATCCATCTGTAACCTGACCCCAACATTGCTAGAATTTTCCCCCAAGAAAGAGTGCCACTGCCAGTGACAAGGAATGAAGCTAGGGTGATTATACAATTATCTTCAAATTTAATTCAAAAGCACATATTAAAATAATGTTTTTTTAAAATAGGATAGTACTATTTGCCCCCTTAAGTACCTCTCAGCCCTAAAATATTTGATTTTATGAGTCTATATTTGGCACAAAATTAAAATCAAGCCTTATACTTTCCTATTGCGTTCTTTTTATTCTCATAAAATTAAAAACATTTCATATGTCCTTCTCCCTATTAATTATATATGTGGTGGCAATGTAAGATATATGTCGCATTACAGAGGTAAACCACTGAGGTGTTTCCTAAATTAGGTAATTAAGGAAACAATCAGCTTAAACATTAGGATAATTCTGAATATGTGTTACTCAGCCCAGTTTATAGATTATCATCAAAGCACAATTTCTTTTTTCTTGTTAGCCTTACTAAAACTTTCATTTTTAAAATTCCACCTCTCACCTTTTCTTCCATCAAATAAGTTCAGTTGATTTCTTCATGTTATTCACGTTCTTTAAATATTCTTTCAATTATAAATTTCACAGTAATCAAACACTTCCCTTATTTCACACCTTATTTTTAATTATTGTGACTTAAGTGTTTCTATATGACATTTTATATGATTTTCTTCCTAGACATAGTCCTTAAAATTTATATTAAAGTGTTTTTAATCCCTTTTTTTGAATAGTGTTCTAATAGATATTCTCAAACATTTAGTCTTGTGATTGACTTAGAAGTCACTCTTCATTAAAATCATAATTGAAAGGAAAACTAGATAACACAGCATGCTTTCATGTTTAATTTTGTTCTAATAGACGATAAATTAAAAAGCCTTGTTTTCTAAAGTATAATTTTTCTGCTATTATAAGTGTAACAATATAATTGATCCATGTATATTTCCAGGCACTTCAGGCAAACATACTATAGTGTTAAATTTATATAAAATGCAATATAATTTGTTTAAAGTGCAGAGAGAAAAACTAGGCAGAGATACAAACATATAAAAAGAACCTGCAAGTTCCTGTTCACTAACTGCAGAAGTATTAGTAATAATCATAAGTGTTGAGATAAAAGTGTCCCATTTCAAACCTCACAATGGAGTTCGTATAATCCCATCCGCATTCTGAAAATAATACTCTGCATTTGAATAGTTCTTCATGTTGTACAGAGTGTTTTGTCATCCATTTCTCATTTTATCACATTAAGTGGATGAGGTAGTTATTTCAATATTCTTATCCCTGTTTTATGCGTGAGCAATCAGAGTCAGAGGGGTAGGCTGGCTGATATAAGAACACACAGCTAGAAATTTTCAGAACCGACAAATATAACATTGTCTTGTGACTTTTTGAGTTATAATTTTTGAATACATTGTCTCCTTTAAAATCAAACTCTCCTAATTTTAATAAGAACAGTCATGTACTTATTTATGACTTATCTCTTAAGTTCTTACAAACGATTAGAGGTAGCTGGAAATGATGGCGGAATTCCATTTATACTCTCTGCCTACATGGTCCTCCTTTCTAAAGGTTGTTGATTTAACCCAACAAAAGGAAGCCTTCCCACTGTGCAAGCCCAGTGAGGCATTAGGCAATGTTTGTAGCTCCATTAGAAAAGGCTGCGGGTCCATCTGTAGGCATTTCTATCAAGAGTGACAAAATTGTCCCTAAAGAGCTTTTCAAAGATTTTTTGTAAGCTTCTCAGCAGATTTCTGCTTGAACTAGCATAAAATATGGGTCAAACAAGAATTATGGAGTGAGTCAAAAGGAATTTTTTCTTTCCCTCTGGGGTTTAGTTGTATGCTAAAACACCTGACGGGAAAGATTAGACAGATTGTGCAAAAACATCCTGAGGCCTAAACAACTCTCCGTAGTTAAAAACCTCTGGAAATGTTTTCGGTTGTTGTTGTTGTTTTCCCCATGCTAGTTGGTTTGGTTGAACACAAACCTTGCCATTTCAAAAGATTTTTTATTTGTTGGTTTGTTTGAAAACTATATCAAGACCAAAACAAGTTGAAGCATTCCTAAAACCTTGAAGATTTATTTAGTTGAAATCCAATATACTAAATTTAAGTGTGAAAAACCTGAGCTATTTTTGTTTGATACTAAGATTTTAGGTATGAGTTTTAAATTTAGAAATAGGCAATACAGGATGAGGAGAAATATCCCTCTACCCTGGTCAATAAAACAAGAGCCACTGGGACAGGTTGGAGAGATTAGGTGAGACAATAAATTATTAAATAGGTCATGCAAGGAAATATGATTTCGAGTTCCCTGATGTGGCTGAATTGTAGGAGAAAAGCCTGATGCTACTTCCACAGACCACTACTGGAAACTCCGCTTTCAATAAAGCTCATTTGCGGCACCTGTCAAAGAAGAGTTTCATATCCATGTGTTGCCTTGGTGAACTCTTACTAAGCCATCACTCTGTGGGAGCTGCTGCCTTGGGCAAGTGGTAGTGGGTGGATGGGTTTGGGAGTGGGTGGGACTGGGAGTGGAGGGAATTGCTGGGTACAGATGATAGTAGCTAATCAGCATCCCATTTTCTTTTGACCAGAAGCAGATGATCACTTCTGGTCAGAAGGAATTTAGCCTTCCCTGTTTCTGTAAAGGTCAGGCCCATAAGAAAAATAAAGGAAAAAGCATAAGAGAAATCAATTTCATTTGGAGGTGAAGTCTTCTTTAACATTGTATGTACAAGATTAATAAAAACAAATTTTACATTCCTCATTTCCATGTGTTTGTGCAAAAAAATTTTTTAAACCTTGAGCAGTTTAAAATAAAAAGAAAATTCAAACTGTAATGACATGCGCATAGCAAACATCCAACAAAATCTGAGAGAATCAATTTGGACAATTTCAGCTTTCAGAGTTCTATACCTATTTCTCTGGTGATAAGGATTTATTTTGTTGTCTGTGAAAATCAAAATGCTTTTCTAACGTTTTGGTTTTGAGAGATTCTACATTTTCTTGGAATGATTGACTATGCATTTTCAAATATTTCTATAGTCATTTAAATTTATTGCTGGAAATACCTCTGCTATACATACAGAATCAGACAGTAAATGTAGAACTCTGACCATATCACACTATCTCTTGTTTATGGATCTTCATTCCTGAAGATGAATTCACTGACCTACCATCAATGGGTACTTCTGTTCTTTTCCAGTAGTAGCCATGGATCTGCACCGAGCCATCTGCATACTTTGGTCTGGTCCACAATGGGGATTTATATGTTCATTTCATCTGACGTGAAAAGTAAGACCAACTGGCCCATCTAAACACCAAACTTGGCTTCAAAATTGTTATGCCTTAGTCATATGGTCTAGCTATGGGCCTAAATAATGAGGATGAGACTATTAATATATGATCTAAGAAGAAGAGAAAGGCCTAAATTTTAACATACCAAGGTTTCTTAAATATTATTTATGACATGTCTTTAAAAATAATACCCATAAAGCCTAGTTTTTGTAATGCAATTATTTTCAAAAAGTTAGTTCATCAAATTACCACCAGGGAGCAGGACCTGTGGAAGTAAGACAGGCAAGTAAATGCTGATGGGGGAGGGCAATGAGAATGCCAATGGAGACACAGTGGGGGGCAGTCAGGGTACAATAAGAGCATGGGGCAGGCAACTTTCTCACTTGGATAGGAGGATCATGGAACCAGGGATATGCTGCCCAAGGAGTGGTAGAGGAATGCCAAAGACACTAATTGTTGATTTAATAATAGTCCCCAAATCCAGATATGTAACTATCCATGAAATGCTTAGTTATTTTTCCACTTTTCATCCACATGTATTACATACATCATGTAAACCATAATATTTCACCCATTCTTCATTGTGCAACATGATCTGGGGGAAGAAACGTGGGTATGGGGTAAGATGAAGGGAATTTTCATGTATACTGAACAAGACCATGAAAATATTCTTTTCCATTTTTATTACTGTGCTGTACATGTAAATATATAATGAATCACTAAAAAGCCAAAAACACATGAATTTTCAAATGAAACCAAATTATATCCGAAATATAAAATTTTGATCGGGGTGTTGAGTTTGGTAGATGTGTGAATAGGAATGACGTAGATCTAACCATCATTTTATATTTTAATGTGTTTTAGATACTGAAAAGTATAATTCGTTAATTTAATTATAATTTGAACAGATTAATCAAAATAATATTAGGTTGGTGCAAAAAGTAATGGTGGTTTTTACCATTGAAAGTAATGGCAAAACCGGCAATCACTTTTGCACCAACCTAATACCACAACTCAAACAAGGCAGAAAAATTTTTCAGAAGAAATGTTTGGTAAAAGTCAGGATCACAGGTTTCTATTTCCAAATGTATAAGAAAGGTAGAGAAATATAATTTCTACCATATTGTTCTTAAAAAGAACATAGCAAAATTCACTTTTCCTCATTAAAACATTTCAAATTGAAAACCATGTATTTCAAGTTCTATAGATCACACTGTATTTTTATCTGATTCTTTTTATAAAAAGAACTTGGAATATAGAGAAATATAGAAAACATATTTTTACAACTACCTAATTCAAATGTCTTTCTATATAGGTCTATTATGTAGTTTTTGTTTTAAAGCATCCTCATTGCCAATGACATTTAATAAAGTCAATAACTATTGAATCACCATTTTGCTTCCATCCAACTATTATTAATGTACAAAAGATACTTTATGAACACAAAACCTCTTTATGGAAGAATCTGCATTATTTTATGCCTGCCAATTATCATTATTTACTCCGGGTTTCTGTGCACAATAACATAGTTATTTTCTTGTTTTGTTCGTTTTTAACCAAAAATAGACAAGATTTTATGATAAAATATATTTTTAATTCATGCCATATATTTCTAGAGTTGTGAAGTTCTGAGTGAAACAAGAAGCTTAGAGACAATTAAAATGAATGCTAATATCAATAATGAATCTCTTCAAGAAAGCTGAAAACTTGATATTTTTTTCAGTACAAAACACAAAATTAAAAATAAATAGCATGATAAAATGATCTTGACATATGTAATTGTTAAGGTGACTGTCAAAGAAACTGATGCTAATCAGTTTCTTCTCATTTTTCACAGTACTTCATTTCCATGACTGTGGGTCTTGACCAGTAATTCTCACTGATTCCTGGTAGGGGCGGGGGATGTCCCAGAAACCCTTTCAGGGATCTGCAAGGTCAAAATATTCTTGAGAAGATTAACATGTTATTTGCTTTTTTGCTCTCATTTTTTTCTCGAGTGTACAGTGGAGTTTTCCAGCAGCTACATAAGGTGTCATGTTATCATTGCTTTGATGACTAATGGAATATGTGCTTGTTGATTTTTTGTTTTAATGTTTTATTTATTTTGAATATGATAAATATCAGTAGATATAACCTACATAACATAAAGTTCTTTGGATTATTAAATAAGTTCTAAGATAAGACTAAAATATTTAAGCTTGTTGTCCAGCTTAAACATTTAAGTATATTAAATTATAATTTATAAATTATTATAAATTAAATTATGTTGAAGTGTTTAAATATATTTAAGCTTAAAAATATATAAAAGTCACCAACTTAGACTTATGCACAATCATAATTTTTACAATAGTCAAAGACTGAATAACCAAGGACTTCTTCCAAAACATGTTTATCATGTTTGTCTCCAAATTTTCTGTATCTTATATATCTCTTCTATTGCATTTCAGAACCCCTTCTTTCCTTTCTCATTTGATGTTAATTTATAATTATTAAGATTGACAAATGACATTTTTTCAATTTATATAGCAATTTTTTATTTTATTGGGAATGATATAGATTAAATTATATTTACACATCCGTAATTGTTACTTTTTCCTTTTGAAATTTCATAAGTTGCCTATCAGCTTTAATCAAGCTGCTTCCAAGCTGAAGTAGAGTGACAGAAGTGTTATAAAGGTAGAATAAAATTTTTTGTTCTTATCTTGAAAGTAACATTTATAGAAAAACAGTTGTTTATAAATTATCAATTAATTTCATCTTCCATTATCTACATTACTGATCCCATATAGTGGAAATTAATTGTATTGGCATAACAATAGAAAAACTGAAGATTATCACTTTCATTCAAATTTGAGGAAAAATGGAAAGCTTCTTACGAAATACTTGATCCTCAATTTCAAGTATATAATTTGATGAGTTTCAAAATATTTAATGCCAAAAGGATATTTGCAAACGTGCTTATCATTTATGAAAAATATGATCTGAATTACTTTTATTAGGTCATCATTTTTACATACATTTGCTGATATTATTTTTAGTGCAAATAATGTCACAGAACCTCTTCAAGGTGTTGGTGATACTACAGCAAACAAAATAGACAAATATTACTGTCTTCATGAATCTCTCATGCTAGTAATATTTATTGAATAATCAATTTAAAGGTATCTGGAAAAAATTATGAAGAGTCAGAAAAGTGAGTTTTGTCTATCTTCAACTGAGAGGAAAAAGAAAAATGCAATTGGTCACTGATTTACATTTAGGTGCAACCAAACATCATCATGTTTAAAAATATCTGGAAAATATAATTAATTATAATTTATTTGTTCTGCCTCTGGTTCTATCATAACCTGTACAATCCACTGCAATATAACCATCTATATATAGACAGAAAGTATTTTTTAAGGATCTATTTGGAGAAAGATTGATGAAATGATTGTTATAGATTAATAGATCATTAATATAATCTGTTTGGAGAAAGATTAATGACATTAGCTAGAGAGGTTAGGTCTCATGAGACCAGACGTGCATTTATCAAATAACTGTCCAAACTTCCTCTTTACTTCGTGGCCATTGACCAAATTGGAATAATATGAAAACAAACTGGAAATGTGCTCAACCTTTTTCATTTGGGCAAAATTTAATGAATTTTCAAAATGTTCGGATTCCATTTAAGGACAGCATTCTTGTTATCTAAGCAGTCGTGATGTAAGTTCTCACAGTTTCAGGATTATGTAAGAACTTTTTTCAAAATGACTATTTTTAGAATGACTTTTTACTCAAACAAACCTGCATGTTTTACAGTAGTCTTTATTCCTGCTTGAGTTTTTTTTTTCTCCAATTGTCAGTTGGAAATACCTATCTGACAGCCTAATGCAAGTGTAGTGCAAGCAAACAGCAAGAAAGAAAATGCTTCTGCTTCAAAAGAGAATAAAAGGAAGATTGAAAAATTAAAAATCGCCCATGAAAATTTGATGTAGCTCAAAATTGAATGTTTTTTCTTTCACATATGATCCCCCATGCTATTAATCTTTTAAAGATAAAGATCATTATTGTATTTGCATTTTATAGCACCAAACCGGAACTCAGCACTGGATACATTCTTTTTTCATTCTATTTATTCGAACATAGCTGGAATTACGGCCTGAATTTATTAAAGACAAAATGAATTTACTTTCTTAATTTTCATCTATGATAATGTCTTAGTCAAACTTTCTTTCATTATTTACTATACAATTTTAATTCTCACTTAAACTATATTTTAAGTGGTTTCTTCCAAAATCACTTCTGAACTAAAAACCCCTCAAAAAAAGGAAGACCTACTTAAAAGGCAACATTATGATTTCCTTTTAAAAGCAAGGATTATAGTATACGGAGCCAACATGTATTTTTTCATGTAAGAAAAAATTCCTCTATACCGTGCTATTAGTTAAGCTAACTTCATTTTCATTTGTTACATTGTTTTATACGATTACTTCTGTTTCCTGAAGTGATCATTGATCTTATTATCTATAAAGCCAGATAATGAATCATTATAAACAAACTAAATTGTTCATTAAGATGTCATTAAGAATTCAGTCATAAGGCCAATGTGCATGGAGAGAGAAAACTGTGAATATACGAGATTTACCATCTTTCTGGAACACAGCAAATGGAGGCAACCCGTCTTCATCTTCTTCTCTAAAAGGAGCTACTATGTGAATATGACATATCTTAAGGGAAATATTTTTATTTTTATAAGAAAAAAGCCTGCAACATTCCATTTCTCATGACTTGTCATACCTTTATAATAGATATATTGTTTACATATATATATAAAATATATCTGTAATGACTAATAGTCATCTAATAATTTGTCATTTAAAAAAGAAATTGTCAATGACATCCTTCCTTCAACTTCCATGCCTAACGACTTACAAATGACTGATAGAGATATCAGAGTTTCAACACCTGTATTTGTGAAAACTTGTGATTTGGTGGTGTGTGAAAACTACAAATAGCTCTATTGAAGCTAGCCCATTTTTCTAGTGTCCAGTTTGCTTTAGATTTTCCCAAATAGATAATAATTATACTGAAGTAGATTTGGAAAAAAATTAAACTTCTAAATTACTTTTAAGATGCAGTACCTCTTCTTAAACTAGAACCCCTGAACTGTAATAGAAAACATACATGAAGTGTGATTGTACATAATTCAAGGGAAAACATTCCAAATAATGCTGGCACAATGACACTTAAAACCTGAAATTTTCAGGTCCACGTTCAAAAGAAAATTAAAACATGAGATAAAACTGCAAAATCCCTTTAGTAAAAATATCAAAAAACAAAAACAGTAACAGCAATAACAACAGGTAGATGACAGAGACAGGAGGAGGGAAGAAGGAAAGGAAAGAGGGATGGACAGAGAAAGAAACAAAGAAAGAGAGGAGAAAGGTACCTGAAGTAAATACTAGCTAAATTAAAGCTAGCTACAGGGGGTAAAAATTCCCAAATACTTGATTTCTAAAACTGCTAGGTAGTTATTTCCGTTCCATCATTAAGTATTGGAATAAACAAAATTATTGATTGCTTTTTATTTCGGTTAATCTTAAAATTTTAGAGACTGTATCTAGGAAGATATTTACTACTGTATTAACCAAGTAATTTGGGAAAGTACAAGCTACCTACATAATAAATTACTCCTCAGAATATTTGGAAATAGCTCTGTGCTGGACCAAAGATATAAAACCAATAATGGAACATCATAGACAGCAACCTATTTACATTCCAAACACTAATTTTTTGGAATTTAGTAGGATAGGCAGAGACCTTGCCTTTTAAATTTCAGATAACTGGATGTGATATAAAAGTAGTAAAAGTGAAGTCTACAATTTAATCCGTGCTCTCAGAGCAAAGTGCTGCCATCATGTGGTAAGTACAGTGATAGCTTTGCATATTTAAGTACTGTGTGGTAGAGGGAAGAAAAGCCAACAGAGCAAACTAATTGAAGACAGATGTGCAGTCAAAGAGACACTACCGATTTAATTAAGGTTAGCCACAATGGAGTAATAAAACACAATGATGTTGAACCATCTAACAGCCAAAGAAAGTGAAATGGTCAAAGAATAATTTAAAACAGATTGAATTGCATCACAGAAGGTAACATTTGTTTACCTGAAATGCCCCCTCAATTAATTGAGTTACAAAAATGATTCAACGTTCTAAGATTTATTCTTTTAGGGCACAGGACCCTTTCTATGAGTGAGCTGATTCTATCATATATTTATAGCATCCACTCTTTCCTTTACTTGGTACTTAGTAATACACTTAAGATTTCAAAAAGAAAGTAGACACAAAAATGTAATTCATAAAAAATGGCCCCAAAGATGTATCTTATTACTAAGAAAAGCCTCTCAATGTTTATATAAACTTTTTTCATATGTAATACACAGGTGTGTAATACATTCACACATAGTAGGTCCTTGGTTTCTGAAACTCTAATTAAAAGAGTTGGAAGAATAAAGCAGAAGTTGAATATTTCTAAATTTTTGATTTTGAAATTATAAAATTATGGAAGATTATACTTAGTGTGTTTAAAATATTATTTCCCTCAATAACATAAAAAATAGAGATATATTACACTTAAATATAACCCAGAGCTCTCCAACTACCTACATACAAACATGGGATCAGGACAAGTTCTAGAGTCTGTAATAGTGCTGGCTCCCACAGAATGTTACTCTACATATTATTTTCTTTTGTCACTTTCATTTTAAATATATATGTAATATTTGTGATTATGAACTTTTTGAAATTCATAAGCTTATAATCTCTGATGGTTAGTGTATTCTCATTAAATATTTCCTTCAATCAAACCAGTGTTTTGGGAGATTGGGGTTAAAAAATATAGTTGAATGATCACCTTTTTCTATACAGTATGACAGAGTAAAGTTATCTCTGAT